>NC_000001.11:242093212-242244727 GCF_000001405.40 Homo sapiens
GTTCTGTGCAAATGCTCAGTGCCAGGTAAATACAGGACTGGATCTCTAAACGGGATTAGTAGCTCCCGTGGGTTGAGTGTTGCTCAGGTGTCCCCTGCCAGGCAGTATCTTCTATTCATTCCGTAAGCAAAAGGCTCCTGTGGTCTTGCATGCCTTTTAAGGGCTTTTGGATATGACACTAAACTCTCATCCCCACAGCTGTTGCCAGGCACTGTAACAAGGGCAGTCAATATATCATCTCATTACATTATTTCTTCAATCTTCACTGCCGTCCTCTGAGGTGGTAATACAAACGCCATCGTATTGATGAGGAAATGAAGGCACAGAAGGGTTAAGTAATTTGTCCAAAGCGGGAATAGAAAAATATCAGAGCTGAGGTTCAAAGCCAGGTCTGACCCCGGGGTCCACCCTTTACTTGTACTCCATGTTGCCTCTGATCCTAAAGGCATCCTTTGTGCTAAGAATTGTGTGCTTCACCCTGGACTACAATGTCGACCCCCGAGGTCAGGAGCATCATAGCCACATTGAGAATTCTGCTACGTGCATGTGCAGACCACTCTCTCTGAAGGAAATATACATGGAAATATGCTTCGGGGGCAGCCTGGGGTGGGGGGAAAATGATGGAGAGAGGTGACAAGATTTTGAAGACTTATTCTATGAAATATAGCTTTTTTTTTCCTTCAAATTCAATGGATTGAGCCAAGATCCAGCATCTTTACTGATGCTCAAAAGCTTTAATTAGGCTCATCTCAGGAATCATGGCTCTGGAAAGCTTTCCACAGGCCGATAAAGGAATTCCTGCACCTTTGTGATCATGCTCTTCTACCTTTCACTTCCTGACCGTCTGGCTTGACTTCAAAATCACATATATGCTTCAGTGTTTTTTTAATTGGGATGCAATTTCATCCAGCTTTTTTTTTTTGAGACTACCACTGCAGCTTCCAAAAATGCATGCTGAGGCCCCAGTTGCCAGGAGAACTGTAGTGTCACCCAGAGGGACATGATGATGAGGTTGCAAGAGAGCTCGCTGGGAAGGTGCATGGGCCTTCAGGGGACTTTTGAGTGCCTTCCATCCACCCGCTACCCCCTTGTCAGTCCTCCAATCCTTCAAACCATCTTCTAGACAAGTTTGCAGAGCTTGACTCAAATGTACCCTGGAGATTTCAAAATTAGAGAGATGACACTGTTTGGGGATTCTTCTGTAAGTCTTGTGAAAACTTAGTGGAGCAGTGATTCCATGCAAGGTCCACTGTGGATTTTTCTCAACTCTGCGTTCTCAGCAAGTATCTCAGTGATGACTTAGGAGATCAGAACATGCTGATAATTATTTAAATTATTGATGGATTTTTTTTTCTTCTAGGGTTGAGTATTTTTATACTAGAACTGTGCTTCAGTCTAGGGAATTAACATTTTGCTAAAATATTATGTGTAAAATTCACTCATTTAAAAATGTATTATAGAGGGAAGAAGAAAGGAGAGAGCCAGGAATCAATATTGCCTAAAGATATGGATAGATCGGAGACAGTGTTAGGAGCTCTTCATACACTATCTTGTTTAAGCCTCATAGCACCACTGAAGGGTGGGTGCTATTATCCCCAGTTTACAGATTAGAAAATAGAGGCTTACAGAGATTATGTGACTTTCTACCATTTTTCAGCTTGTAAGTGTCAGTGCTGGAATTCAAATATAGGTTTGTCTCACTCTAAAATATATATTTATTATTTTTTAATATTTTATTTTATCAAGAACAGAGTCTCGCTCTGTTGCCCAGGCTGGAGTGCAGTGGCAATCTCGGCTCACTGCAACCTCCACCTCCCAGGTTCAAGCGATCCTCCTGCCTCAGCCTCCTGTGTACCTGGGACTACAGGTGCCCGCCACCACGCCTGGCTAATATTTTGTATTTTTAGTAGAGACGGGGTTTCACATTGTTACCAGGATGGTCTCTATCTCCTGACCTTGTGATCCACCCACCTCAGCTTCCCAAAGCGCTGGAATTATAGGCGTGAGCCATCGCGTCCGGCATATTTATTTATTTAGAGATGGAGTCTTACTCTGTCTTCCCCAGGCTGGAGTGCACTGATGGGATCTTGGCTTACTGCAGCCTCTGTCTCCCGGGTTCAAGCGATTCTCCTGTCTCAGCCTCCTGAGTAGCTGGGAGGACAGGCATGTGCCACGATACCCAGCTAATTTTGTATTTTTAGTACAGACAAGGTTTCACCATGTTGGCCAGGCTGGTCTCCAACTCCTGACCTCAGGTGATCCACCTGCCTCAGACTCCCAAAGTGCTGGGATTATAGGTGTGAGCCACCACGCCCGGCCTAAAACATTTAATTCATCAAAAGTACATTTTTTAAAAATTCCTGGTTTCAGGTATTTATTTTTTTAATTTTAATTTTTAAGCCCTCATCTCCTTTTTAAAAAACATTCCCACAAAAGAACATTTAGATACAGGTACAAGTCACTGCTGAATTGACACACAACATCTTACTTTAAGTAAACTCCACATGTAAAATATCCAGATTTGAGTCCCTCAATCCTGTCGTGCCTAAAACCTGAACCATCCCTGGGTTCCCTGATGATTAAGCCAAAAGTTCCCATTTTTATTAAATGATTTTGGGGTTGTTTTTAATCACTTGCAGCTGATTTCATATTACTCTCCATAAGTTGGTGCACATGAGAAAAATCAAAATAATCACGTTTTGGGTCACTGAGAGTGACAACAGGAATGAAATAATATTCTCTCTTTTTTTTTCTTTTTTTTGAGACAGAGGACTCTCACTCTGTCACCCAGGCTGGAGTGCAGTGGCACCATCTCGGCTCACTGCAAGCTCCGCCTCCCGAGTTCATGCCATTCTCCTGCCTCAGCCTCCCAAGTAGCTGGGAATACAGGTGCCCGCCACCACACCCAGCTAATTCTTTGTATTTTTAGTAGAGATGGGGTTTCACCGTGTTAGCCAGGATGGTCTCAATCTCTTGACTTCGTGATCCGCCTGCCTTGGCCTCCCAAAGTGCTGGGATTACAGGCGTGAGCCACTGCACCCAGTCAATATTCTCATATTGGAGCACCACCAGAAGGTCAGAAGTATCGATCGATCGAAAGATCGATCTCTCTCTCTCTCTTTCCCTTTCTCTTTTTCTTTCCCTCTTGAGATGGAGTCTTGCTCTGCCACCCAGGCTGGAGTGCAATGGCGCAATCTTGGTTCACCGCAACCTCTGCCTCCTGGACTCAAGCGATTCCCCTGCCTCAGCCTCCCTAGTAGCTGGGATTACAGGCATATGCCACCGTACCCAGCTAATTTTTGTATTTTTAGTAGAGACGGGGTTTCACCATGTTGCCCAGGCTGGTCTTGAACTCCTGGCCTCAGGTGATCCACCTGCCTCAACCTCCCAAAGTGCTGGGATTACAAGGGTGAGCCACCATACCCAGCCTATTTAGTTTTTTGGTTGTTTGTTTGTTTTAAGTCTTTTTTGTTTTTTTTTTTTTTTAGTCTGCTAAACTGAAAATATTTTACTGTCTGGACTTTTATTTTTTATTTTTATTTTTATTATATTTTAAGTTTTAGGGTACATGTGCACAACGTGCAGGTTTGTTACATATGTATACATGTGCCATGTTGGTGTGCTGCACCCATTAACTCATCATTTAACATTAGGTATATCTCCTAACGCTATCCCTCCTCCTTCCCCCTCCCCCTCCCCACAACAGCCCCCGGTGTGTGATGTTCCCCTTCCTGTGTCTGTGTGTTCTCATTTTTCAATTCCCACCTATGAGTGAGAACATGCGGTGTTTGGTTTTTTGTCCTTGTGATAGTTTGCTGAGAATGATGGTTTCCAGCTTCATCCATGTCCCTACAAAGGACATGAACTCATCATTTTTTATGGCTGCATAGCATTCCACGGTGTATATGTGCCACATTTTCTTAATCCAGTCTATCATTGTTGGACATTTGGGTTGGTTCCAAGTCTTTGCTATTGTGAATAGTGCCACAATAAACATACGTGTGCATGTGTCTTTATAGAAGCATGATTTATAATCCTTTGGGTATATACCCAGTAATAGGATGGCTGGGTCAAATGGTATTTCTAGTTCTAGATCCTTGAGGAATCGCCACACTGAGTTCCACAATGGTTGAACTAGTTTACAGTCCCACCAACAGTGTAAAAGTGTTCCTATTTCTCCACATCCTCTCCAGCACCTGTTGTTTCCTGACTTTTTAATGATTGCCATTCTAACTGGGGTGAGATGGTATCTCATTGTGGTTTTGATTTGCATTTCTCTGATGGCCAGTGAGGATGAGCATTTTTTCATGTGTCTTTTGGCTGCATAAACGTCTTCTTTTGAGAAGTGTCTGTTCATATCCTTTGCCCACTTGTTGATGGGGTTGTTTTTTTCTCGTAAATTTGTTTGAGTTCTTTGTAGATTCTGGATATTAGCCCTTTGTCAGATGAGTAGATTGCAAAAATTTTCTCCCATTCTGTAGGTTGCCTATTCACTCTGATGGTAGTTTCTTTTGCTGTGCAGAAGCTCTTTAGTTAAATTAGATCCCATTTGTCAATTTTGGCATTTGTTGCCATTGCTTTTGGTGTTTTAGACATGAAGTCCTTGCCCATGCCTATGTCCTGAATGGTATTGCCTAGGTTTTCTTCTAGGGTTTTTGTGGTTTTAGGTCTAACATTTAAATCTTTAATCCATCTTGAATTGATTTTTGTATAAGGTGTAAGGAAGGGATCCAGTTTCAGCTTTCTACATATGGCTAGCCAGTTTTCCCAGCACCATTTATTAAATAGGGAATCCTTTCCCCATTTCTTGTTTTTGTCAGGTTTGTCAAAGATCCTCTTCTCAAGGAGTATCTTTGTGGCATTCTCTGTATTTCCTGAATTTGAATGTTGGCCTGCCTTGCTAGATTGGGGAAGTTCTCCTGGATAATATCCTGCAGAGTGTTTTCCAACTTGGTTCCATTCTCCCCGTCACTTTCAGGTACACCAATCAGACGTAGATTTGGTCTTTTCACATAGTCCTGTATTTCTTGGAGGCTTTGTTCGTTTCTTTTTATTCTTTTTTCTCTAAACTTCTCTTCTCGCTTCATTTCATTCATCTGATCTTCCATCACTGATACCCTTCTTCCAGTTGATCGAATCGGCTACTGAGGCTTGTGCATTCGTCACGTAGTTCTCATGCCGTGGTTTTCAGCTCCATCAGATCCTTTAAGGACTTCTCTGCATCGGTTATTGTAGTTAGCCATTCATCTAATCTTTTTTCAAGGTTTTTAACTCCTTTGCCATGGGTTCGAACTTCCTACTTTAGCTTGGAGTAGTTTGATCGTCTGAAGCCTTCTTCTCTCAACTCGTCAAAGTCATTCTCCATCCAGCTTTGTTCCATTGCTGGTGAGGAGCTGCGTTCCTTTGGAGGAGGAGAGGTGCTCTGATTTTTAGAATTTTCAGTTTTTCTGCTCTGTTTTTTCCCCATCTTCATGGTTTTATCTACGTTTGGTCTTTGATGATGGTGACGTACAGATGGGGTTTTGGTGTGGATGTCCTTTCTGTTTGTTAGTTTTCCTTCTGCCAGTCAGGACCCTGAGCTGCAAGTCTGTTGGAGTTTGCTGGAGGTCCACTCCAGACCCTGTTTGCCTGGGTATCAGCAGTGGAGGCTGCAGAACAGCAGATATTGGTGAACAGCAAAGGTTGCTGCCTGATCGTTCCTCTGGAAGTTTTGTCTCAGAGGAGTACCCCACCGTGTGAGGTGTCAGTCTGCCCCTACTGGGGGGTGCCTCCCAGTTAGGCTACTTGGGGGTCAGGGACCCACTTGAGGAGGCAGTCTGTCCATTCTCAGATCTCAGTCTGTGTGCTGGGAGAACCACCACTCTCTTCAAAGCTGTCAGACAGGGACATTTTTTTGGCCTATTTAGTTTTTTATTTTTATTTTTTTTGAGGAGGAGTCCCACCTTGTCACCCTGGCTGGAGTGCAGTGGCATGATCTCGGCTCACTGCAACCTCTGCATTCCAGATTCAAGCAATTCTCCCTGCCTTGGCCTCCCATGTAGCTGGGATTACAGACACCCACCACCATGTCCAGCAAATTTTTTTGGTATTTTTTAGTAACGACAGGTTTTCACCATGTTGGCCAAGCTGGTCTTGAACTCCTGACCTCAGGTGATCCACCTGCCTCAGCCTCCCAAAGTGGCTGGGATTACCGTGTGAACCACTGCACCCAGCCAGATATATATCTTTAAAATATTCCAATACTCTCTTCTAATGTGATATTGAAAATGGAAAAAGAATACGTTTACACTGAGTCTGGGAGTTAGTGACTACCCACACGGCCAGTGGCAGTGTCTGCAGGGGCGGGAGGCAGTGGGTGAGATGACTGGGGGCCCTGGATGCCAGACCCGGCTCCTTCCCCCTAACATCTGTATTTCTCCAAGTCTTAGGGTCCAAGTTTCCTCATTTCTAAACTGCAGATGATAAAAGCTGCCCTCCCTATTGGTGATGTTGCGAAGAGAAATGAATCAAGTGCTTTACAAAGTTAAAAGGGTACATTTTTTACTCACTGAATTTGAAAAAAAGAAATTGATACAGATTTTCTATTTCTATATTCCATGAACATGTTTCTTTCTGCCTTAAGACTGCTGCTTCATCTGTACAATGTAATCACTACACTGCTGTTTTTGGATTTATGTACCTTCTGATAGATCGTTTTAACTGCCTGTGATGGTACTAGTTAAAAGGTTATCATGGACTCATATATATCATGGAAAACTAGAATAGGTTTGATGTATTAATAATTACACCAGTGTAGAATGATTCCAGCCCTTGGGTCTCTGTTTAACCTTAATAATAAAAATAGCTAGCATTAATTGGGTATTATCTATGTGCTAGGTACTTTGCACATTTTGTCTCTTCTACACTTCACCCAATGAAGTAGTTACTATTATTAACCCCATCTTACAGATGAGAAAACTGAGGTTTGAAGAGCTCAAGTTAAATTGTACAGAGTGGGACATTTGGAAGATAGCAGGGATGGGATAATTGGCTGGGAATTGGGAGTTTCGGCACTGAACCACTCCACTGCCTGCCTTCCCATCACTCATGTCAGGCTGGCTTGTGGTGCTGTGGGCAGGGGGATGACACTGCTCTTTCCTGTGCCAGGACTCACCTTTGATGAGCCATTCTCATCCTTGCCTGTACAATGAGGCAAATGGACCAGAAAATTTCTGGAAAACATTTATGGAAAGGCATCTTCTATGTCTTCTAGTACATAAATCAGGCCATGGAAGAGATATTTGAATGATGAGCTCCCTGTCCTTACCGTCCTGTTTCCTCATCTCCATTTCCCCTCATTCACCAGCAGTGGTTCCCAAGGCCTTGCTTCCTCACCAGGGGATACCGTGGAGCACAGCTGGACTACCACTCCCTGGGTGACCCCCACCCAAGGAGCTTCACAGCCCTGACACCTACCAATATAAGCTGCTCCATCTGTCACCATGTACTTGTTGCGATTTAACCTAGGAAAGGTGTGATTCTTTTGTTCTTTTGTAGCACAAGCATTCTCTCTTTCCAGATCAAAAAATTTCTGTAAGAAAAAAAAAAAGGGGGCAGGTAAATAAGAGGAACGTTTCTGGTCTTGTCCAAGAGCACAAAAGAATGCATTATCCAAATGTCAACAATAGACCTCAAGTTGGGTTATGAAAGCCATAATCTTATTACCTCATATAGATGAAGCTATTTTTGTTCTCAAATCTAAATAGGCAACAAGAGAAAATTAGCGTGCTCAACTAGGTATATAATTAACACTTTTAAGCTACAAAATGAACACAAAATTCGTTTTCTTTTTTCAGCAGGATAAGGGCCAGAAGGTTGTTTAATTCTCATTGTCTTATTCATCGGGGTGCCAGCTTTGAAGCATGCCTCAGGGTGCTTTCTGCCAAGCATGGCAATGAACCGAATGAGTATTCTTACATGTTGCATACATTATGTCAATGACTAGCTGATTAAACTGGGGATTTGCCAAGGTCAAAAGAGACTTTGCCATAGGAACATAGGAACAAATACTTTTCTGTCTGAACACCTAAGTCTAGGAGCTCTTTTGATAGACAACTCAAAAAAAAAAAATCACAACTTCAAACCGTGAATTCTGAATTTCAACTTTTATTGACTCAAAAGGTGACATTCCAGTTCACCCAAGGCCAGGAATGGGGCAGCTGAAAGAAGGGGGATGACTGCAGGAATGGCCAGGCCATGCCTTAGGGGTCTGTGAAATTGGCTAAATTTTCAGATGAGGCTTAAACTGTGGCTAAGCTCATGGAACTCCATGACTCAGCTCACTGGAAGACACTAGTCAAAGGTGAAAATATCAGGTATCCCCTATATGGGAAAATGTTGAGTATTTTCAGAACTGCGTGGAACCTTGTGGAATGTCTTACAGCTATAGAATCGTGTATTTAAAGGAAAGAAGAGGCAGGGAGGAAAATGGCATGATACCTAGAAAAGGAGATGTCATTTACAGTTTTAAAACTGTAAGTGTTCACATTTGGTTTGAGGAAATAATGAGAGTTGGACTTCCCCCTCCCCTAGCGTGGTAGAACGGTGATAAACTAGATGATCAGTAAGATCCCTTCTAGCCACAAAAGTTCTATTTTGATTTTTTGTAAAACCCTTGAGGTCCACAGAGCAGAGATCAAAATCTACTACTTAAAAACTGTCTATTCCACAACACAGGTAAACACATTATCTGTGTGGCTCTCAGGGCCCTATCACCACGGTTATAGACAATGATACCTGGTTCACCCAGTGTCCTCAGTTCCTGTCTTCTGTAAAATCTGCATTGGTTTCTGGACTCTTCAGACTGACTTAATAACCTGTGAATGTTCTTAAGTCACAGTTTTATGTTCATGAGGTCACATGAATGTTGAGGGCATCACCATCAATAACAGCCAGAAGTCACCTCGCTTGGACATAATATCACAACACGTGGCCACACGTGTGACTGTTTCCTTTTGGGAAAGATATTATTGTAGAATCAAGATGGATTTCAAAAAGAATAAAATATACATCTTGAGTTAAGTCAAGGATAGAGTCACAGCTTGAGGCTTTAGTAAAAACCCATTTGCTCTAGAAAGTCAAAGACGGCCCTTAAGAGGGGAAACAGCTTTCTCTGGAAGACTAAAATGACAGCAGAAATGAGGTTTTATTCACTGGTATTATTCGACACCTAATACACTGTGGGTGACAGCAAAGACATTTCAAAAGGGGTTTATTAATTTGTTAAAAAAAACTAAAAAATCAGCTGACTGGGAGAATTCTGTGCTTCACAGTCTTTTCTCTTTTCATGAGTCCCTCATGGAGATAAGCCCACATCAGGGCTGGAGGTGGTTGGAGGTGGGGGTGCCCACTCCTTTAAGGACAGAGATTCCCTACCTAGTTCCCAGGCCATGTGCTTTGTCAGTGCTCCCAGGCTCCTGGAGACATGCTCTATGCAAGATTCCAATCCTCACTTTTCTTGTAAGAGTTTATCACCCATCTGTGTTCTAGACATTAGGGCCATAAGCTTCTTGCCCATCTAGGCTTGTATTGATGCTTAGAAGTGTATGGCCTCTGTTTTATAAAATGGCTATATGTGAACTACTAATGTTTAGTTTATTAAAAAAAAAGTGACCATCTATGATCAAAAACATCAAAAAGATGAAGCTGATTAAGTACTGTAAAGGTTGCAATGATGGATGCTACTTTCCTTGTAATTTTTTGTAATTCTTAAATGAGAGCAGTTGACATTTCACGCCCTAGAAGTTTTGACTGCAGGTGCCCTAGTGGCAGGTGTGCTGTGGGGGTCAAGAAACAGTGGGTGGACATGGACCCGTGACTTGGCCAGAGGAGAATTTGGAAAAGGAGATTGGAGCAAATGTACCATATGGTATACCAAAAGTCCCAGACTGTCCTCTCTGTTCCTGCTAGACCTCACGAATAACAGGGGCTCCTCTGAGTGCGAGTGTACTGACCTCCAGAGTGCATGACTTCACTGGGCAGCCTCTTCACCCATGGTCACCCTTCCCCAGCGCACACCTGCAGAAAATGGCTAACCACACCTTGGACTCAGGCACTGTCCTGGGTTCTGCCCTGTCCCCTCACTGGCTTGCAGAATCTTTCTTATTACTCTGCCTTTATTAGCTCCCTTCTTTGACTTCATTTGTTCATGCATGCACTCATTCAACATGTATGTTTTGAAAACTCCACCAAGCGTCATGTGAGCCATTGGTGAACTAGACACCTGTTCTTTTTCTCACTTCCTTTTTGCTGGAGCTCCGTATGCCACTGTAATTATCTGGAAAATGCTGTTTCGGAGCTGAATCAATCCCAAGAGTTCTCTTGTCTGTGAAAAGGTATTGAACACAATTAGACTCCATTCTCCTGTGTCTCTGACTTCCTAGGACTGCACCTGCTTCTCCTCTGATACTGGGCACCTGACTCCAAACCCAGGTTGGTGCCCTGATCCAACTCCTGGTTGTTTCATTTATTTGAAAATCTGGCCTGGAAAACAGATCTGTGGTAGTAATCACAGTCATGTTTTTATTTCCAATACTTACACTGATTTGTGACTACACAGATATGTGCATGATTTCCTCAGTTTACAAAAACCAGTTAAGTAGAGATCAGAATTTCTATTATCCATCAATGTTACCAGACTATTCGGGAGATTAAGATGAAAACACAGGTGAGAAGCATTGTTTTTGGAAATTTACAGTAAATTCTAAATTTTTATGTATTTAAATTGTTAATAATTTCATGAAAAATAAAATTTAAAATATCTTAATGGCATGAATGAGTTACAAACATTTTATCTGATTCTTTTTTTGATCCTCAGGGATATAATTCGGATGTGTAGCTTCTCATATCTTTGAGCAGATGCAGTATATGATGTTTTTGTTTTTGCTTCGAGACAGTCTTGTTCTGTCCCCAGGCTGGAGTGCAGTGGCAATCATAGGTCACTGCAGCCTTGAACTCCTAGGCTAAAGTGATCCTCTTGCCTCTACCTCCTGAGTCCTGAGTCCCTAGGACTACAGATATGCACCACCACACCTGGCTAGTTTTTGCTTTTTTTTTTTTTTTTTGTAGAAATAGGGTCTTGCCATGTTGTCCAGGCTGGTCTTGAACTCTTGGCCTCAAGTGATCCACTTGTCTTGGCCTCCCAAAGTGTTGGGATTACAAGTGTGAGCCACTGCACCTTGGTGTATGTGATGTTTCTTAATATAGATAAGAAAGATTAAAAAGGACTTTGTAACTGCAAGGATCTCTTCTACATGCAGACGCCATGGAGACATGTTTAAGAGCTCAGGTTCTGGAGTTCAAAAGACTTGGGTTTGAGTCTTGCCCCATTACTCACTAGTGTCCTTGAGAGAGGTTATTTAATGTATGCTTCAGTTCCCATGTCTATAAAATAGGGAAAGTACCTGTTTCACTGGGTAATTGTAAATATTATTATCTCTTAAGTTTTTTTGTAGAGATGGGGGTCTCCCTACTTTGCCCAGGCAGGTCTTGAACTTGTGGCCTCAGATGAACTTCCTGCCTTGGACTCCCAAAACACTGGGACTACAGGCATAAGCCACATGTCTGGCTGTGTGGTTATGAATATTATATAATCTATAGAAGGCATTTAATTCAGTGCCTGGATAACTGTATATACTCATGAATATTCATGAATCTAACACATTCCTTCACTTATTTAAAAAGTATTAAGTACTTACTAAGTTCAGGCAATGTGAAGTGGTTCTGTCATAACAGCAACACAACAAAAACTTAATAAACGATGTAGCATTGGTTTACTCAATGGACAGCAGGCAGCAAGTAAATTGGTATTGTAGGGTGGAGAGATGAAAACTCATGTTATACAGTGACAAACTATTTGGTAAAAACATAGCCAGCATTTATTTGGAAGGAATACCAAGTACCACTGAACCTTTGGCTTATAGGGCTTCGGCTATAGGGACTGGGGAAATGAATTGTTTGTACTGTGTGTTGGTTTTTTTTTTTTTCCTTCAGAGACAGGGTCTTGCTCTGTCTCCCGGGCTGGAATGCAGTGGTGCAATCTCGGCTCACTGCAACCTCTGCCTCCCAGGTTCAGGTAATGCTTGTGCCTCAGCCTCCCAAGTAGCTAGGATTACAGGTGTGCACCACCACGCCCAGCTAATTTTTGTATTTTTACTAGAGATGGGGTTTCACCATGTTGTCCAGACTGGTCTTGAACTCCTGGCCTCAAGTGATTCACCTGCCTTGGCCTCCCAAAGTGCTGGGATTATAGGCGTGAGCCACTGTGCCTGGCCTGTTAGTTGTGCTTTTAAAAAGCTTATTAGAGGAGATAAATAGGCTCAGGGAAGGAAGGGCTAGTTTATAAATGATATAAATGATATAGAGAACAGATCACCCAGAAATTTGGTATTTCACAGGGTTGAAAAAGCTGATTGTACCTAAAGCTCAATAATAGAAAATAAGTATGAAAAATCCTTTAAGTGGCCAGTTAAGACTGAGCCCTGTAGAAAAGATGAAATAATTGGTGTAATAATAATAGGTGTAATCTTCCCACCTGTGTCTGATGGTTTTGCATAAACTCTATCATTAGAGAGAGAGAAGTCTATGAACTAGAAAGCATAATTCATCAAGTTAGGGAATTATGTACAACAAGAAACTCTGGACATGGCTATGGATACATGGAAATAACTAGAAACAAGTACATCAGAACCTATTACATTTCTGAGAAACTTGCATTGCCCAAGAAACCAACCAGCTCATGCTAGGACCCCAAACTCCTTTAACTGTTCATGCCTTAAAACAACCTTGGGTCCTTGGTTTGAACCAGCAGGAGTATGAGGACTTCACAGTACCTGCCCAGAAGAGTTTTATAATTGCTGTGGACCAGGAACTGCCATGGGCCTCCAAGCCTTCCCTTTCTAATGGCAGTTTTCCTTGTGCGTATCCTGTTTCTGTACTCAGGGAGGGAGGTAACATTAACCTGATGTTAGGTATTTTTTGGTGTGTGGTGGGGAATTGTTACGGTTTTATTTTAGTTTTTACATTGACAAACTATGATGTACCGCTTTCAGGCTTGATGTCCAGAAATGCACATCACTGGAAGACTCTGTGCAGTGACTGCATGAAACTTTGCATTTTCTCCCTTGTGGGAGGTGAGAATGAGGGTTCTCTATGAGGCAAGATGAGTGAAATGGATCCCGTGTACCAGGAACTTCAGACCATGATGATTCACAAACCTGTTCCTTTGTCACCCTGGAAACACAGCTGACTTTCTGACCATGGTCATAAGCCTCCCTGGCCATTAGGCATGGCCATGTGAAAGCTATCCAGGCAGTGGAATGAAGGCTAAAGGGATGTTCCCTACCTCCAGTCCCAATCCAAAATGCCTCTCACACAGCCCTCCAATTTCGCTCTTCTCCTGTCTGGCCTTGGGATATTCAGGGTCAGGGCGATCTTGGAAGCCATGTGTCAAAGTTAATTGCGGAGCCCTTGATACCCTGGGTCCCTAAATGCTGCAAGGAATGCAGCTTCGTTACCTAGAAGAGAGCCTGCCACAGGCCAGATTCTGTTGAATGGCTGCATGGGGGTTGAGAAAAGCTGAGGCCTAAAGGATCAGTGGTTATGAGGTGGGTAAACATGGAGAAGAAGAGTGTTGTAGGCAGAGGGAATAGCTTGCACCAAGTCTGGGGTGGAGGAAGAGGGCGACGAGGACTGGAGTAGAGTCAAACATGACCTAGAGAATTAACACATTTCAGGTATTGCTAATTCCCAATCTTACCTCCCTCAAGGTCTCCAGAGGGGGATTAGTACGTGGCCCAAGGGACCTGGGGCAAGCATGGGGACCCAGACGACGAGGCATCTGGGCGGGGGGTCTGTGTGCTGCTGCATGCTCCAGTGCTCTGTTGGTCACAGTCTTAGAAATAGGAGCAGTAGGTGAATGGGGTCGTTCAAGGAAGATGGAGAGGGCCGGGTGCGGTGGCTCATGTTGGTAGTCCCAGCACTTTGGAAGGCCAAGGTGGGCAGATTGCTTGAGCCCAGGAGCTCAGGACCAGCCTGGGCAACATGGTGAAGCCCCATCTCTACAAAAAATGCAAAATTAGCTGAGCCTGGGAGTCAAGGCTGCAGTGAGCCGGGATTGTGCTACTGCACTCCAGCCTGGGTGACAGAGCAAAACCCTATCTCAAGAAAAAAAAGAAAAAAGAAAATGGAAAGGATGCAACAGAAAGTGAGAAGAGGGCTGGACGGAGGAGGCATCAGGAAACATGAGCTCTACTCTTTTTTTCGTATGTGATTGTTTTGAAAAAATTACTTAACGTGCTTTTTGAAGATTGCCGTCCTGGTTCTTACTGGAACTTTACACATAGGCGTATGCTTGCAGCTTTCACACACATGCAGAGGGCATTCACTTTTTATTTAATAACACAGTCAACGTAATACTTACAACTTTCAAACTGCAGTTGGCTATTTCAGTGCAAATCGCTTTAAGAGATGAAATAAAGTTAAACGTAAGGGGATCAGTTTCCTTCCAGAAGCTTAAAAGGAGTCGAACTCTAACGCTTCGTAAAACTAATGCTTCTCTTATTTTTGCATCCAAGTCTGGCCAGTAAGTCCTGCAGAAATCATATCCAAATAGAAAAAATAAACTAAGTTAGTTTGGGAAAAGAAATTTACTAGACAGCATAGAACATTGATATTACTCAGATCATTACTTTATCCTGTAATATATATAAGCAACCTCATCGGAGAGGCTGAAAAACATACAAGCATCTTAGCTTAGGCACCAAGAAATGATGATTTGCTGGGACCTGCCCCTGCCTAAAAGGAGGTTTCCTACCACCAGGTCCTTGGGCTGTGTGGGCTGGGGTGAGGACAGGCTGACTGCCTCCACAGGCCACCCTTACTACATCTCTGACGCTACCTGGGCCTCAGTCCACTAAGAACTGATTATCCAATCGAATTCCAGTTAGGAACCCTGAGCACCCCCTCAGTCCCCAAATGCCACTAAAACCTCTCTTTGGTGATTGTCCCCGAAATGAACTTACGCTCTGGTCATCTGAGCTTCCCCACACTTCCTTTTCCCGACTGTCTTACCGTGGTGTCTCCTTACCAAGCCTCCCATGTCTCCCCTGCCTTCCACGTTTTCTGCAGGGTCTTTGGAATCTTCCAACAGGCAAAGTTTCCCCAACAGGCTTGGCCTTTTCTCTGAATCCTTAAGCCTTTGCCTTAACTTGATCCTGATTTCTTCCCTGAGGCCACAGCTTCTCCTGGATTTCTGCGTGCATTTTCTACCATGACCTGGCCACTTGGCTTATGATGTGGGGCAGACTCCCACTCTGCCTCTGCCGGCCCCCAACACACACTGTCACTTCCAGCACTGTCATTTAATTCTTATGTTAAAACAAAAAGCTTTCCTGTCTTAAGGACCAAGCCTTAAATCACTCTCCCTCCCCTCGGCCCTGACATTTGTAGACCTTTTGTTTACTCATCAAACTCTTGCCCTAATTCTGGGCCAATTCAGTATTTGAACTAATGATACATTATTTGAAACTGTAGCCTGCCAGTGTCATGATCATTGCACCTCTAAAGGCCTCCTGTCCTTATTCCCCACTCTCTTAATTGCTTTTTCATCACATGCAGGCTGCAGATTCATGATGCCTTCAATCTGCCCGGTCCATCAGCTCCTCCTGTCTCCCTTGCCTGCCCAGCCTCATCTCAGTTCTGATCACTTGAAAGATACTTGCCTCTGTACCTTCCTCTTGCTCTTGGCAAAAATCTAGATCCTGGATCCACGCTACAGTTTTCTTTGTCTGGTTTTATACCCATGAAGCTGAGGACTACAGGAAAGATCATCTCAGCCTTGTGCTCAAAATTGGTTTCTCTGCCTCCAGTCATGTACTTCATCGATGACCACCGCAGTGATCCATCTAAAGCAGACCTGGTGATGCTACTTCTTGAATTAAAACAGTGGGGCCGGCACGGTGGCTCACACCTGTCATTCCAGCACTTTGGAAGGCCAAGGCGGTGGATCACTTGAGGTCGGGAGTTTGAGACCAGCCTGGCCAACATGGTGAAACCCCGTCTCTAATAAAAATACAAAAATTAGCTGGACATGGTGGCATGCACCTGTAATCCCAGCTACTCGGGAGGCTGAGGCAGGAGAATCACTTGAACCCAGGAGGTGGAGGTTGCAGTGAGCCAAGATTGTGCCACTGCACTCCAGCCTGGGTGACAGAGCAAGACTCCATCTCAAAACAAAACAAAAAAATGCCACCCCCCACAAAAATCCATAAAGTGGAAGCTCCACAAAGTCACAAGACTCCCCCAGTGGTCAGGATCTCTGGTTCCTGGCCCTTGCCCCCTCTCCAGTTAGATCTCTCACCACCTTACCTTGAGCTCTTTTTCTCTACATGTGAAACTTGGCTCATGCTGTCCCTTCCACTGGGAAAATTTTTCACCCTTTTCTGACAAATTCCTCATTATTTTTTTTCAAGAAATTTTTGTGGGGAAACTGAATATTTTGAATTATAAGTCAGTGAGCATCTCCTCCAATGGGCTTCTTCTAACCCTGAAGCTGTGCCGCGGGGCTCTTTCACCTAGTGTCTGTAATATTCTGCACTCAGGAGGCTGAGGCAGGAACGGTGATCATTGCACCTCTAAAGGTGATATTCATCATGATTAAAGCATGAACAGCATACCATCTCAACCTCCATCTAACAAGACAGGAAGGAGACTATTAGAACACAGAGGTGTGAGTGGTACAATGAATGTACCTGAGGCTGAGGCAGGAGAATCACATTATATTATTATATTATTATATATAATATAGATATTATATTACTATATTATATATTATTATTATTATATTATTATATTATCATAAAGGCCATTAGAGACCTTTAGAGGTGCAATGATCATGACACTGGCAGGCTACAGTTTCAAATAGTGTATCATTAGTTCCAATACTGAACTGGCCCAGAATTAGGGCAAGAGTTTGATGAGTGAACAAAAGGTCTACAAATGTCAGGGCCAAGGGGAGGAAGAGTGATTTAAGGCTTGGTCCTTAAGACAGGAAAGCTTTTTGTTTTAACATAAGAATTAAATGACATTAATTCTCATTAAATGTACCTCAGGTACATTCAAGTGATTCTCCTGCCTCAGCCTCAGGTGCATTCATTGTACCATTCACACCTCTGTGTTCTAATAGTCTCCTTCCTGTCCTGTTAGATGGAGGTTGAGATCATATGCTGTTCATGCTTTAATCACTGGTACACAGTGCTCAATAAATATTTGTTGACTGAAGCCAGGCGCGGTGGCTCATACCTGTAATCCTAGTACTTTGGGAGGCTGAGGTGGGTGGATCACCTAAGGTCAGGAGTTCGAGACCAGCCTGGCCAACATGGTGAAACCCCATCTCTACTAAAAATACAAAAATTAGCTCTGTGTGGTGGCATGTGCCTGCAGGCCCAGATACTCAGGAGGCTGAGGCAGGAGAATGACCTGAACCTGGGAGGCAGAGGTTGCAGTGAGCCGAGATCTTGCCATGGCACTCAGCCTGGGCGACAAGAGCAAAACTCTGTCTCACACACACACACACACACACCAATGGTTGAATGAATACATAAATAAAAAGCATTAACACTTCAAAGGCTAATCAGGCTACATTTTTATTATTCCTTTACACATTTACTAATTTCCTTGTGAAAGATATATTTTATGTGACTGAAGAAATAAATAATGAACAACCCCAAACTGAGACCTAAATAATTGACTTGCTTAAGAAAGAGAGCTTGATTGCTAAATCAGGAAGAAGTGAAATAGGGCTTCTGAATTTTTTTTTTTTTTTTTAAACGGAGTTTCACTCTTGTTGCCCAGGCTGGCGTGCAATGGCGTGATCTTGGCTCACTGCAACCTTGGCTGTCGAGGTTCAAGCGATTCTCCTGTCTCAGCCTCCCGAGTAGCTGGGATTATAGGTGTCTGCCACCATGCCCAGCTAATTTTTGTACTTTTAGTAGAGATGGGTTTTCACCATGTTGGCCAGGCTGGTGTTGAACTCCTGACCTCAGGTGATCGGCCCACCTCGGCCTCCCAAAGTGCTGGGATTACAGACGTGAGCCACCGTGCCTGGCCGGCTTCTGAATTTTTCCTGTAGGATTTATTTAGTCACAGATCATTGTTCCATTCCCTTCCTACTACCTTGAAAACTAGAAGTTATTTCTAACACTATTGCTAAATAATAGTGTCTGTTTTTTTTTACACGCTGTTAATCATTTCTGATTTGGGAGTGTATGATTTTTTTTCTCTTTCATCTGGATGTTTGGCAATGTATAGACTAAAAGTTAAGTCTGAAAGATTAATTCCATTAACATACTGAAATTTGATAGTATTTACCTATTTATTAAAGTTGAATTCACTCCTGAAAAGCTTTTCTGGGACTAGATAAAGATGAGTAACCAGTCTGAATTTATACAAGTAATTAATTTATCTGATTGAGAAGAATTTAATTATAATCTTGATGCTTGGACGACTACTTATGTCTCTTTGATGACCTTTCAATTTAGAAAGTTAAAAGCATTTACAGGTTTAAAATTTTAAAAATACAATAAAAGAAGTTTCATTTAATAGCTGAAATGGTAGATTATAACCAAAATGCAAAATTTCAAGTGAGTCTCTGATTCTTTAACATTCATTTTGTTTTCTCTAGATTTTAGATTTCTAAAATATTTTAGATCCTCCGTGCTAATTATTTACCTCTTGACCAGGAAGAATCTCAATTTTGTTCATAGAACTTCATGGAACAAAGGTTTTGTCAATCCTGAGAAATCATTATGCCATCCTAACATATAACTCCCTGAACTTGACCTTACTCTCCTTCTCAATAACAGGAAAATCAGGCAAAACCCCTATTACGTTTTGAAACGTTCCCAAAGTAGAGGTAAAATCTAAAACCAAATCTAAAACCAAGTGAACAACAAAGGGAGGAAAAATAAAAAGGAGGGATAGAAAAGGTGTGGAAGTGTGCGGTGAAAAAAATCCATGAATGTCCAAAGGATGCACTGTGTGTGTGTGTGTGTGTGTGTGTGTGTGTGTGTGTGTGTATGTATGTATATGTGTATATATATATATAGATGGAGTCTCACTCTGTTGCCCAGGCTGGAGTACAGTGGTGTGATCTTGGCTCACTGCAACCTCTACCTCCTGGGCTCAGGCGATTCTCCTGCCTCAGCCACCTGAGTAGCTGGGATTACAGGCGTGCGCCACCACACCCAGCTAATTTTTGTAAAGATGCACAATATTTTAAAATAAAAGTATTTCAATAATATGAATCTTGCAGCTAAAAGTGCTTTTCTACTAGCTGTTATAAGAAATGATCATTTTCTGGGGGAAGGACTCTTTTTGTAATCCTATGGTTATTTGCGTAAAGAAGCTACCTACTATGCATTATGTAGGGTTGGTGATGTAAGAATTATTCAAGCAATAAAGGGCACACTTAATCATTTAGCCTCAGTAAATGCTTATTTTGAAACTGTAATATTCCAAATTAAAAAGGCCTGGGGTTGCACTCCCCAAAATATGCACTTTGAAAACATTTCCTGGATCAAACTAATTATTCAAGCACCTCTGCATTCCCAGCACGAAAGCAAAAGTGGGAATACCTAAGCATGGCCACGCATTTATGCATGCAATGATTTCCCAAAGAGTTTGTCATAAATTCCATCCCTGAATTTATTCCGTGTTTGCATGCTTAAGCAATGATGAATTATTGAAAAGCACTGCATTTTTAAACTGTTCTCTTTTCACAGAGAGGGATGGATTGACTGAGAACATAGATATTTGAAGTTTCTTTCTCTCTCTCTCTTTTTTTTTTTTTTTTTTTTTTTGAGATGGATTCTTGCTCTGTCGCCCAGGCTGGAGTGCAGTGGCGTGATCTTGGCTCACTGCAAACTCCGCCTCCCAGGTTGATGCCATTCTCCCGCCTCAGCCTCCCGAGTAGCTGGGACTACAGGCACCCGCCACCACACCTGGCTAATTTTGTTTTTGTATTTTTAGTGGAGACGGGGTTTCACCATGTTAGCCAGGATGGTCTCGATCTCCTGACCTCGTGATCCGCCCGCCTCGGCCTCCCAAAGTGCTGGGATTACAGGCGTGAGCCACCGCACATGGCCTCTTTCTCCTTTACACTGAGAAGATATTATGAGAATTTGGCATTAAATGAAGACTGCTGTGAATATAAAACAACAATGCTTCCTTTAAGGAAAGTCTGGCAAGACTACTCTGTTTCAATATGCCCTTTTCAGGTATATACTTGTTAATAATTTTCAAATGATAATTTTTTTCATATAATATTTTATCTTTTATCCTTTCAAATAATTTTCAAGTTGAGAGCAACCTAATTTTCTTTTGAAAGTTACTCTCATTTCCATAATGTAAACTACTGAGGTACTTCTGTAGGGTGAGACCATGAGCCTTCAAAATGGACCCACTTTGGGAAAAGCTCCGTAATGAGTAAATTGCCAATGCATGTTAAACAGCAATGAATGGTGTGCTCTTCCTAAGGCAACCTGATGGCATCTCCATTTCCAGGCTGGCTTCTCCTGTGGTGCCCAGTTTAGTGCCTGGTCTTAGGGACTGGGTTCTAACCAGAGGCTGGGCATTCACTGACCTTTTGGTGCTTGTGCTGGAGATAGGCAGGTAGTCCATGACAGCGATGTACACATACTGCTTGGCATCATCTATCACACTGTAGATGGCATCTATGTCAAAACTTCTGTTTTTAGGGCAAAAGAGTTTTGGAGAATTCTGTGAAGACACAAAAGCCAAACTTTTAGCGTACTAATTTTTGGCAGCTGGGGATTTATTTATTTCCTTTGTTTCCACGGACCTTGGCTTGTAACTATATTTTTGCAAACCTAATTTCTGCTTCATCAAATTAGACAAAGATATTTTCAATCTTATCAAAGTTGAATAAAGATCAAAGTGTGGTAGGATGGGTCTCAAGTCTGTTTTGGAAAGAATTCTTTTATTATCTGACACATTTTGATTTTCAATTTTTATGTATTAAAAAATTTAATTGATACATAATTGTATATATTTATGGGGCACATAGTGATGTGATTCATATAATGTATAGTGATGAGATTATGGTAATTAGCATATCTATCATCTCAAACTTTATCATTTCTTTGTATTGGAAACATTCAATATCTTCCTTCTAACTATTTGAAACTATCTAATATATTATTGTTAAGTATAGTCATAGTTAACTACGGTCCTATAGAACAAGGGTCCCTATTCCCCAGGCCAGGGACCAGTACTGGGCTGCAGAGCAGGTGAATGACAGGCAAGCAAAGCTTCATCTGTATTTACAGCCGCTCCCCCTTGCTCGCGTCACCGCCTGAGCTCCGCCTCCTGTCAGACGAGTGGGGGCATTAGATTCTCATAGGGGCGTGAGCCCTACTGTGAACTGCGCATGTAAGGGATCTAGGTTGTGTGATCGCCTTATGAGATTGTAATGCCTGATGATCTGTCACTGTCTCCCATCAGCCCCAGATGAGACCATCTAGTTGCACAAAAAGAAGCTCAGGGCTGTCACTAATTCAACAATACAGTGAGTTGTATAGTTATTTCATTATATATTACAATGTAATAATAATAGAAATAAAGTGACAGCCACGGATGGTAGCCCAAGCCTGTAATCCCAGCGCTTTGGGAGGCTGAGGTGGCCGGATCACCTGAGGTCAGGAGTTCAAGATCAGCCTGGCCAACATGGTGAAACCCCGTCTCTACTAAAAATACAAAAAATTAGCCAGGCGTGGTGGTGTGCACCTGTAATCCCAGCTACTCGGGAGGCTGAGGCAGGAGAATCGCTTGAACCCGGGAGGCAGAGGTTGCAGTGAGCCGAGATTGCATCACTGCACTCCAGCCTGGGTGACAGAGCAAGATGCTGTCTGAAAAGAAAAAAGAAAAAAAAGAAAAAAGAAAGTGCACAATAAATGTGATGCCCTTCAATCATCCTGAAAGCATCCCTGCTGACCCTGGTCCATGGAAAAACTGTCTTCCATGAAACCAGTCCATGGTGCCAAAAAGGTTGAGGACCACTGCTATAGAACAATGGAACTTATTCTTCCTATCTTGCTGTTATTTTTATATCCACTAACAAATCTTTCCCCACCCCCTCTTTCCCCAGCCTCTAGTATCTTCTGTTTTACTTTTTACTTAGGAGAGAATTCTTGCTTTCAGTGTACACACTTCTTTTCGGAGGAGCACTCCACCTCCAACCTTACACAATTCTGTCATACATAGCTAATAATTTTCTCAGGTGTTACTACACACGCACACACACTGCACATAGCAAGCCATTTACTCCAGCATTTTCATTTCATCTGAAATGTGATGATGTGGGCATAAAAATGTTTCAAACTCAAAATCTAAAAAAAAAAAAATCTTGGAGTTTTTTTCTTTTCTCCAAAATCTTTCATTGAGTTAGGAGAAGTGTTGATTGTTGAGAAAAGGTCATCGATAACAGTGAAGGAATATCTGAGGGAGCTATTAAGATGCCGAAATTCAGCAGGAGAGCCAGAGAAGAAGGATGTTCTGAAAGATTTAAGCAAAATGAAAAAAAGAGGCAAATTCTGCTTGAGGCATTTTTCTCCTGTTGCTTGAGGTGGTTTTCATCTTATAAAAATATGGTGTTTGTAGATGGAGTTGCTGTAGAAAGGGAAAGATGTGTTTGGTTTTCTCATTATTTTTCCACTGGACAGGACTGAAAATAGTGTTTCCCACAGTTGCTGTTTTACTTTGACAAGCGATACGCTGTGACAAGTATCACATAAATAATGCCAGGGCATTATAATGGGACATAAATAATGCCAGGATGTTTAGGACCAAAAGGCTGAATAAACAGATTTTTGGAACTGCCTGGAATGAATGGTAGTATTGGGCGGTCAGAGTTCCTCCTCACCAATTATGTCTGGAACAACTCCCTACACTGCACAGTAGGAGTCCCCACCCCAGCTTAGAGGTTTGTGAGATGGAGCTGTTGGACTGGACGCCCACCTTAGAAGGGGCATAGGGGCATAGGGATAAGGAAGGAGCATGCTGAGGATCACACACCTTCCAGGTTTCCTCACACAGAAAGTCCTCTTGGCAGGTGATCATGAGCAAGATGAGTCGGTTTTTTAAAAAAGAATTTCAACTTTTATTTTAGACTCAGGGGGTACAGGTGCAGGTTTGTTACATGGATATATATTATGTGATGCTGAGGTTTGAGGCACAACTGATCCCGTCACCCAGGTAGTGAGAATAGTACTCAATAGTTTATCCACCCATGTCCCCTTCCTTCCCCACATGCGCTAGTGGTCCTCAGTGTTTAGTGTTGCCATCTCTATGTCCATGAGTAACCAATGTTTACCTCCCACTTATAAGTGAGAACATGGTATTTGGTTTTCTGTTCCTGCAGTGATTTCCTTAGAATAATGGCCCCTAGCTGCACCCACATTGCTGCAAAAGACATGATTTTATTCTCGTTTATGGTTGCATAGTATTCCATGGTGCATATGTACCATATTTTCTTTACAGGATGAGTTTTTGATCATTTATTTTTTTCTTTTGGAATGAGGATGAACTTCAAGTCTGTTTTTTAAAGGTAGTCCTACACTCCTCTGTCATCAGCACACAGATATACAGATACTCCATCTGTCACCAAGATAGAAAGCGTGTGCCTCTGCAGGGTTTCCTGGGTCTGTCCCTCCTCTTACTCTTGATCACTCAGTAAGTTTCCCTCACTTGGGCACTAGTGCTGCTTTCAGGGATGTTCTAACATCTTTCTAACTCATTGCCTTATCTCTGAGATGTTTAAAAACAAATATACATCACTCCCAGGATGAACTGACTCCTGGTTTCTCAGAATCCAGCTTGAACTAATTGGGAGGGGTGTATCCATGGTCCTGTGTCTCTGCCTCCTTCATTTGCCAACTCCCATCCTGTCTGTGACCCCAAATGCAAGTAATTACCAGTCCACGGCTGTGCCCTCATCATGTCTGACTCTGGGCATCTCTGCTCATGCCGGCTTCTCTGGCTCATGTGTCTTTATTTTTGTCTATCAAAGTCCTACTAATTCTGTTCTCTGAATTCCAGCTCAAATGTGATCTCCTCCATGAATTTTTTTTTTTTTTAGATGGAGTCTTGCTCTGTTGCCCAGGCTGGACTGCAGTGGTGCAATCTCAGCTCACTGCAACCTCCACCTCCCAGATTCAAGTGATTCTCCTGCCTCAGCCTCCTGAGTAGCTGGGATTATAGGTGCCCGCCACTACACCTGGCTAATTTTTGTATTTTAGTAGAGACGGGGTTTCACCATCTTGGCCAGGCTGGTCTTGAACACCTGACCTCATGATCCACCTGCCTCGGCCTCCCAAAGTGCTGGGATTACAGGTATGAGCTACCACGCCTGGCAATGAAGTTGTTTTTAAATCTCCAATCAAAGGTTGCTTTTCCCAACCCTGTACTCCCATACTATTTATTTCTTTTGCTTTTTTCTTTTTTTACCATCATAACCATTTTTAAGTGTACAGTTCAGTGGATTTTAGGGATTGTATGTTACTCATTTTCCTATGCCATTAAAAATATTCAAATTATTTAATTCCCTTAGCATGTTGGCTCTGCTTTAAAGGTTCTTTGGTTAATGTGGAGAAGCTGAAGATCTTTGCTCCAGATGGGTTCTCAGAAGCCTGACTCTGAAATGTGTCCAAATGCTCACATTTGTTTCAGTTAGGAACTCCCTGAATTTCACTGCTTTTTCCAAAACCAGATTTTGGTTTTGGGGAGGAACAAATGTAGGCAGAGTTATCTGTGGTCTCTTTACATTTGCTGTTATCTTACAAGTATAGACACTGTGGCCATAATTTAGAGGAAAGAGCATGGGCTTTGGTGATACAGGCCAGACTCCAGCACTTAGAACCTGGGGCATCTTGGTGTGTCCCTTACACTTTTTGAGCCTCTGTTTCCTAATGGGGTTAATGAAAATAACACACCTTTCATACTGGTTTGCCTTGAAGCTCAAATAAATGAATGGCCTGTTTGCTGGCTGGGTTCCATGCCCCTCTTCTGTGCGTGCTTTCATTCAATCAGCAAATATTCCTAGGCTCTGGTCTAGGAAGGGGACATACATCAGTGACCAAGACAAGATCCCTTCTTTGTGGAACTTCATTCTAGCGCATGTTACATGGCATTGCATTCATCTGTCTATGTGTTTAGCCACTTGCTTGTGAGCTGCCTGGTTGTGTATCTCTGGCATCTTGTGCCATGCACATATTATATGCTCAATACATACTTATGGAACGAATGTGAAAGTGCTTCATAAATGCATAAATGTTGGAGGTTTGTCTGTTGGAGTCTGTTGCTTCAATCTGGGTATTTCCAAACCTGTGTCAACAGATGTTTATAAGCACTGACCTGCCTTATTGCTTCCTGTGTTCCCACTGCCTGACACAATGGCAGGTGCTCCAGCTCCATGTGTTTATGAAGGAAATGCATAATTATTTGTATCAGTCCCCTTGCACCTGGGGGCTGAGTGGTACTTTGCTATGTGTTCTAGAGTCTTCTACCTTTAAAAATAGTGCCTGGATAGACTAGTGGCTGTAAAATGTCTGCCCAGAATAGAAATGAATAAACAATAACACAAAAGAATGAGCTGGCAGAGGAAGTTAACTAGTTCCAACTGTTTAATTAAAGAGAGGGCTAAGTTTCCCTCTCATCACTTCTGAATTAATTTTCCGAGCCTTGTGCTGTGTACTTCTTTGTTCCATAGTAAAGTAGAAGAAGAGGGAAAATACAGATCCTCTTCAATATTCCAGCTCTGTGGCAATCTTTTACCAGTCAAGAGCTCTTGAGGGACCTGACTTCTAGGTTAATCTGGGTTTGTCTCTTAGATCAGTAGGCACCATATGAATGTAATTTATTTTGCATACTCATTAAATAATCACCTTGTACAGACCTTAGCAGGTTTTTAATTATTTCATTAACAGTTTCATGGTTTTAAAAAAGTATATACTCTATTTGTAGAATATATATGTTCAAATATAATTAAATATGAAAAGACAACCCATGGAATGAAAGAAATAAAATATTGGAAAATCATATATTTAAACCAGACACCTGAACCCAGGAATTTTAGGCCAGCCCCAATAACATAGTAAGACCTTGTCTCTATAAAAAATCATATTTCTGTTTAAGGGACTTGTATACAGACTGTATAAAGAACTCTTACAACACAAATTTTTTAAATAACTTAATTTAAATGGGCAAAAGATTTCATATTTGATAGATATTTTGTGTCTCTTCTTTAAAGAAGAGATACAAATGGCCGATAAGCACGTTAGAAGATTTAAATCAAAACAAAAATAAGATTACATTTTATACCCTCTAGTAGAGCTAAAATAAGACAGAAAATAACAAGTGTTGCCGAGGATGTGGAGAAATAAAAACTCTCATATATTGCTGGTGGGATTGTAAAATGGTGCTGCCAATTTGGAAAACAGTTTGGTAGTTTCTCAAAATGTCCAACATAGAGTTACCACATTATCCAGTAAATCCACTCCTATGTATAAACTCGAATTAAAAACAGCTATTCACATAAAAACCTGTACATGAATATTTATAGCAGCACTATTTACAATAGCCAAGAAATAGTAGTAGTACAAATGCCCATCTGTTGACAGACGGGTAAACAAAGTGTGGAATATCCATACAATGGAATTATTTAACCATAAAAAGAATAAAGGCAGTATTGGTCCATGCTACAATATGGATAAACCTTGAAGGCATTATGTTAGGTGAAAGCAGCAATCACAAAAAACTACATAGTATATGATTCCATTTATATAAAATATCCAGAAAAAGGCAGATTCATAAAGAAAAAGTAGACTGCTGGTTGCCAGGGACTGAGAGAAGGGAAAATAGTGACGGCTAATCAGTATGGGGTTTTTTCTTTGTGGTGAAAAAAAGTTCTAAAATCAGATTGTAGAAATGGTTGCAAAACTGCGACTATACTCAACCCCACTAAATTGTATGCTTTATTTTTTATTTTTTATTTTTATTTTTTGTATTTTTAGTACAGACGGGGTTTCACCATGTTGGCAAGGTTGGTCTTGAGCTGCTGACCTCAAGTGATCAGCCAGCTTTGGCCTCTCAAAGTGCAGGGATTACAGGAGTGAGCCACCATGCCCAGCCTGAATTGTATACTTTAAAAGGGTAAATTTTATGGTGTGTAAATTACGTCTCTGTAAGGCTGTTAAACTAATTTACAATATACGCAGAAGGTTCTAAAGAGGAATGTGATGCAGGATTTTTCCATAGCAGCATCAAGTTCTATTTAATGTCAGCCCTCACTCACTAAATACATCTCCATATACATGGCTGACAGGTGACTTAACTGAACAATAAACAAGAAATGAAATCTGTCTAACATCTAGATCAATAAAAACAGACCTTGAACTAGTCTTTTATCTTGGAAAGCAATTGCTTAAGCTTAAAGGCTCCAAAAAGAAACCTACAAGACAGAAACAGCCAACTATTGTTCCCATCCTCCAATTTCAATGGGAAATGCAAGAAAATGAGAATTATCTGGCCCAAGTTACTAGAAATCACACAGTTAAATCTAAGTGCCTATTTGTGTTCCATGAAAAAACTGGAAATAATCCATATTTGTATCATAAGTTAAAATTTATATCTAACTATGCTAAGTTATCAATTATCTAAAATCTAACTTTGAGAATGGTTATTAAGGTCTTCAAATACTCTTTATGTATGTGTTCAACTTAGTCTTGAGACAATCAGCTTATAAAAATATACTATTTTAAGATACAACAAATATATTGAATTAAATTCATCTTGGCATTTGTCTGGCATATATTACTGAGAAAACTGTATGCATTCTGGAGCTTTCTATTAATATTACTACTAATAAAACCTATCCAACATTCATTGCTGCTTTTAGCTAGCACTAAGTGAAGTATTGGGAATACCAATGATGAAGAGGATATATTAATAGTAGGTGATCTTCAGAGTCTAATAAAATGGTGGGAAAGATGATTATAAATAAATAGTTATAAAAGTTATAATAGAAGGGAGTTCAAGGAACTCTGTCTGAATGATATCAATTCCAGTTGCAGGGTTTTCTGACTGTTTTTGTACCTGTAGGATTTTATACCTCTCCAGAAATGGTGTTCAATCAATATCTGTTGAATTGAAATTCAAAGGCAGGCTTGATATTATTAAAAAATAGAAAATAAAACAGGAAGTTAAAATAAGTAAATAAAAAAAGAAAGTAAACTAGAAATATCATTTGACCCAGCCGTCCCATTGCTGGGTATATACCCAAAGGATTATAAATCATGCTGCTATAAAGACACATGCACACATATGTTTATTGCGGCGCTATTCACAATAGCAAAGACTTGGAACCAACCCAAATGTCCATCAATGATAGACTGGATTAAGAAAATGTGACAGATATACACCACGGAATACTATGCAGCCATAAAAAAGGATGAGTTCACATCCTTTGTAGGGACATGGATGAAGCTGGAAACCATCATTCTCAGCAAACTATCGCAAGGACAGAAAACCAAACACCGCATGTTCTTACTCATAGGTGGGAACTGAACAATGAGAACACATGGACACAGGGAGGGGAACATCACACACCAGGGCCTGTCATGGGGTGGGGGGAGGGGGGAGGGATAGCATTAGGAGATACACCTAATGTAAATATGAGTTAGTGGGTGCAGCACACCAACATGGCACATGTATACATAGGTAACAAACCTGCACGTTGTGCACATGTATCCTAGAACTTAAAGTATAATTTAAACAAAAGAAAAGGTATTACACAGTTTAAAAAACTACCCAAAGAAATGTCTCACAGCTCTTTTTGTGGTGAACTCTTTAAGAAAAAGCCACTTATGAATTTGCCCTAGAAAATAACAAAGGTATCGAATTGTAGTAGATTTTACTAAAGGCCTGAGACCACTCTCTCTGGGAAATACATTAGCTTTAAAATCAACAAAAAACTGACTCTTTCCCTGTTTAAGGGTTAGTATGTAAATGTATGCAACAACCATATTCACTTATCTCCAAGGTTGAAACTGTAAATTCAAAATCCAGTGATTATTCAAAATTTGTTCATTAATTCATCTATTTTTTGCTATTTCCAATTTGTTTTTCTACTGGATCTGATCAAGCGATCCACGCTTGGCATGTAGTGTCACCCTGTGGCCCTCTGGATTAAAGGTTCCTTGGCAAATTTTCTATTGCTGCTCATCCACAAATTAGGAATACTCCTTGGCCTCCTGGTCTTATAGGGTCATCTTGAGATGAATTGAAAATGTCTATATAATTTATATTTATATTTATTCGTAAAATGCCCTATAATATGCTACTTGCTACTCCATTCTTGACCTCCTCCATACAAAAATGTTATTTTACCTCCAGCTGATGAACATCCTTCATAGTCTATTTTCTGCTCTTCACATTTATGTGAATTTGTTATTTAAGACAACTTGAACTTTGTGTTTTCTTTCTATTGTTACACTTCTAAATTTTCTGCTGGTGTTTTCCTTTGAACAGGCAAAAAGGATACAATTCACTTTATCTTCAACAAAATGCTGTTTAGTGACAAAAAAGTTGTTGGCATAAAAGCACCAATATCAACCAAGGTTGAAATAGCAATATTAAATTGGGAGCATTACTTAGAGAAGTTGATCTGAACATCAGGATAATTTCAGAAGCTTGCTTCAAATAAAAATTCTAAGATCTCATCTCAGATCCAGTGGATAAGATCCTGGGTGGGGACAGGGGACACTATAAATCTGCACT
Organism: Homo sapiens; assembly: GCF_000001405.40. NCBI lineage: Eukaryota > Metazoa > Chordata > Mammalia > Primates > Hominidae > Homo > Homo sapiens. The sequence goes on from NC_000001.11 coordinate 242,123,099, forward strand.
TTAAGCATACTTCGTAGCCAATTCTTAAGTACAGTAAGTCCTCACTTAATGACGCCGACAGGTTCTTGAATACTATGACTTTAAGCAAACTGATGTATGATGAAAACAATGGTACCATAGGCTAATTGATATAAAGGAGAGTTAAGTTGCTATGGCTTATTTCTGGTCCCAAAAACAGCATCAAACTTCTAAAGACCAAAACACTTTGAATATTAAACATTGAAACAAATGTGAGCTATACATACATTTAAGAAAGACTAATAAAAACAAGTAAAATAATTATTTACCCTCTTACTCCAGTTCAGGGTCACAGGTGGCCAGAGCCCCTCGCAGCCGGGACCCCTGTGGACAGGAGGACATCCCATCGCAGAGCACACTCACACACACATTCACACTCGCTTACACTGGGACCACTCACACACACATTCACACTCGCTCACACTGGGACCACACAGATCTGCCAGTTCATTCCACTTGCACAGCTCTGAGATGTGGGAGGAAACAGCAGTACCCGGCAAAAGCCAACACAGACAGGTGGAGAACGTGCAAACTCCACACACACGGTGGCCCCAGCCGAAAATCAATTGTTTTTTTTCTTATCAACATGATAATGAATGGGCATTGAACAAAACGATGTTATTGAAGGATCTACTGTACTACAGTTTGAGGACTAGGACTGTAGGCCCAGATATTTACATTGCCCCTTTCCAGTAACATCTCTGGATAGCTGTGGCATGTGCCTAGCTGGGTGGTGGACTGGGAAGGTGAGGGTGGGTGGAGGGTGTGGCTAATGGTTCTTAGCAGAGTCAGAGGCCCGAAGCTGTGCAAGGAGCACTGTCCTGTTGTGTGGGCCTCTTGCCTGCTTGCCCCAACCAGGTACAGCAGCTCTGCTTTTGTCTGATCTATACACTGAGATTCCCTCAGATTTGTCTCATCAAAGGGTTCTGATAAAAACAAGTCTGAAAAATCAATGTAGGGCATTGAAAACAGGCTAACAGGCTCTGGTGTCAGAAGAGCTGGGTGCTGGCTCCGCTCTTAGCATGTCCCATCGGATGGGCTTTTTGCTAGTAGGTAAGGTCGATACCTTCATTTGCAAAATGGACACAACCCCATACCTAGCTTACAGGGTGATTGAGGGAATCAAATCAGATAACTCAAGGTATCTGACACAAGGAATGATGATCAAGATTTATTATATTTGAGGGTATGATTGCGTGTAAGGGTGGACGCATTTTAACTCTTCACGTCATGGGATAGAACCACTGTAATTCATTTTTGCCCAATACAAGATCACACTTAAACATTCCAACTTAATAAAGAGCCTTTGGAGGAAGAAGGAGAAGGGGAGGAGAAAGGGAAAACAACTCACCGATACAAATGCTTGAGATTTGGTTTCATTCAACTGAAGTTGCAATTTCTTTTCATTGTCATAGACTCCATAGAGTCTTTTGGACCAGGTTTGAGGCACTCTGCTTTTGAATTTTAATGAACTATATAGAGCAAATATCCTTTGTAAATCTAGGACCAGGCAGCTGCAGTTGTAGAAGATGACACCGAGTTCTTTCATCTGTGAAATTAAAATTGAAAGCATCAATGCCATGTGTGTCTTTTGGTGTTATTTTCAGAGAAAAAAGGAATGCATAAGAATGAGGTAGTTGTGACATCTTTTTTCTTGCATTTGAAGTAAGTAGATATAGTTACATTATGGTACATAGAGGTGATATGTTATAAAAATGCTAAATATTTAAGTAAAATTTTGCTGGTTTTTTGTATTAGGTCTCTAATTTTCTTATAGTCATCTATAATTTCTTATATTCATCTATACTTTTCACATCAGCTCTTCAGATTTGTTTCCTTAACACTTTTTTTGTATGACTCATTCAATCAGGTGGCAAGAAAAAGGTCAATTTTACTTGCAACATAACCGAATGGCTGGAATCATGGATTCTGGCTGGAATCATGGATTCTGGAGTCAGACTGCCTGGATTGAGGTTCTGTTAATAGCTCCACAACTTTCTAGCTGTGTGACTTTGAACAACATACTTAATTTCTGGGCCTCAGCTTCTTCTTCCGTAAAATAGAGATAATAGTATTTATTTCATATGTTGCTATGATAATTGAAATGGTTAATACATATAAGAAGTGTCTATCACATGGTAATCACTAGCAGTATGTTAGTAATTATTATTCTTATTAACGTTACACAAGCCTTAAGAGTAATAGACCAATAGCATCTTAAAAGACCACAGAGATCATTTTGTCCACCTCTCTCAAGGCATGGATGAGGAAAGTAAAGCTCACACAAATAAGTAAAAATACTAGCCCCAAGTTAGAGATTTAGTCAGTGGTAAATTAAGAATTGAGTGCAGGTTTTCTGACCCCTAATCAAATACACTCAGGAACATAGCTATACTGGCTTCAGTTGAGTCCAGTATCCCTTTGCAAAAATTACAGATGATTTTTAATTTAGTCAATGAAACTATACAATGTGAAATTTTGGTCATTAAAGAACAGCACACAAAAATACATGCTTTCTATGACTTGAACACCCAGTGAGGGGTTATTAGGGAAACCTTGGCTCTCTAAAGACCCAGGGCCCATTGATAGTAAACTCCCTTTTTATCCCTTCCTTAAGCCCTTCCCCAAGACTCTTTACTCAGGATGATAGGAGAGGTCATCTACCATGTATGAACCTGTCTCTCTTTGCTCCCAGGACTCCCCAGTACAACATGGCCTGGAGATCTTTCCATGTTCCTCTGTACAGATCTGTCATCGATTTCCAGCTTCATGGTAACCACAGGATAGATGGACACAAGTTGTTTAACCCACTGATAGACTTCATTCCTATACTTTCCCTAATGCAAAAATAAAACAATGAGCATCCTGATATATCTTTGTGCGCCTTTAATATAGATTCCTAGAGTGAGATGTACAGACACATTAAGGACTATTAGCGGTTAAGTGAAAGGAGATAGAGCAGGTAGGGCATATCAGGCATGTGCAAAAGGACTGAGGCTAACCAAGGAGGTGAAAGATCTCTACAAAACACTGCTGAAAGAATAGATGACACAAACAAATGGGAACACATCCCATGCTCATGGATGGGTAGAATCAATATTGTGAAAATGACCATACTGCCAAAAGTAATCTACAAATTCAATGCAATTCCCATCAAAATACCACCATCATTCTTCACAGAACTAGGAAAAACAATTCTAAAATTCATATGGGACGAAAAAGCCTGCATAGGCCAAAGCAAGACTAAGCGAAAAGAACAAATCTGGAGGCATCACATTACCTGATTTCAAACTATACTATAAGGCCACAGTCACCACAACAGCATGTTACTGGTATAAAAATAGGCGCATAGCCCAATGGAACAGAATAGAGAACCCAGAAATAAGCCCAAATACTTACAGCCAACTGATCTATGACAATGCAAACAAAAACATAAAGTGGGGAAAGGACACGCTATTCAACAAATGGTGCTGGGATAATTGGCAAGACACTGTAGGAGAATGAAACTGGATCCTTATCTCTCACCTTCTACAAAAATCAACTCAAGGTGGGTCAAGGGCTTAACTCTAAGACCTGAAACCACAAAGATTCTAGAACATAACACTGGAAAAACCCTTCTAGACATTGGCTTAGGCAAGGATTTCATGAACAAGTACCCAAAAGCAAATGCAATAAAAACAAAAATAAATAGCCGGGACTTAATTAAACTAAAGAGCTTTTGCATGGCAAAAGGAACAGTCAGCAGAATAAACAGACAACTCACAGAGTGGGGGAAAATCTTCACAATCTATACATCTGACAATGGACTAATATCAAGAATCTACAATGAACTCAAATTAGCAAGAAAAAAACAACCCCATAAAAAAGTAGGCTAAGGACATGGGTAGACAATTCTCAAAAGAAGATATACAAATGGCCAACAAACATATGAAAGAGTGCTCAACATCACTAATGATCAGGGAAATGCAAACCAAAGCCACAATGTGATACCACCTTACTCCTGCAAGAATGGCTATAATCAAAAAATAAAAAAATAATAGATGTTGGCGTGGATGTGATGAACAGGGAACGCTTCTACACCGCTGGAGGGAATGTAAACTAGTACAACCACTATGGAAAACAGTGTGGAGATTCCTTAAAGAATTAAAAGTAGAACTACCATTGGATCCAGCAATCCCACTACTGGTATCTACCCAGAGGAAAAGAAATCATTATACGAAAAAATACTTGCACATCCATGTTTATAGCAGCACAGTCTGCAACTGCAAAAATGTGGAGCCAACCCAAATGCCCATCAATCAACGAGTGGATAAAGAAACTGTGATATATATGCATATGTTGGAATACTACTCAGCCATAAAAAGGAATGAATTAATGGCATTCACAGCAACCTGGATGGGATTGGGGGCCTATTATTCTAAGTGGAGTAACTCAGGAATGGAAAACCAAACATCATATGTTCTCACTCATATGTGGGAGCCAAACTATGAGGATGCAAAGGCATAAGAATGATATGACAGACTTTGGGGACTTGGGAGACATGGGGGAAGGGAAGGGGGTGAGGGATAAAAGGCTACAAATTGGGTTCAATGTACACTGCTTGGGTGATGAGCGCACCAAAATCTCACAAATCACCACTAAAGAACTTGTGTAATCAAATACCACCAGTTGCTCAAAGACTTATGGAATATAAATAAATATAACGAAATCAATGCTATTCAAGCCTAGTAGAGCCAGAGATAGGCCTCCACGAAAGCAGATATCAAGGGAATCATTTGACTTTTGAGTCCAAAAGGCAAATTCAGTGGCCATAGTTCACTTTTACTATGTTCAGGTCTCTCTGATTTCCTTTGGTTTCTCCATGTCAGACCCGTGGTGTTTTCAGGTCATTTGCTCACACGTGGCAAACACTAATGCTTGGAAAACTGCTCAAAGCTTGCATGAGAATATGCTATTTAAAGTCAGGCATGGGAGGATTGTTTGTTCAAAAACAGTCTGGGCAATATCGTGAGACCATGTCTTTACAAAAAAATAAAAAATGAGCTTGGTGTGGAGGCACAAATCTGTAATCCCAGCCACTTGGTCAGCTGAGGTGGGAGGATCCCTTGAGCCCAGGAGTTCAAGGCTGCAGTGAACAGTGATTGCCCTACTGCACTCTAGCCTGGGCAACAGAGCAAGATCCTGTCTCAAGGAAAGAAAGAAAAAAAAAAAACCATGCTATTTCCCTATCCACCTTGTTTCTCAGAAGTATTTGTCTGCTAATCTTCATGTGGATGTTTGCCCTCTCTACTGAGGCTGGGGCAGATGAAAGGCAAAGGCAGTGGCCGTGGATCAAAGCAGCTGCCCCTGCCACACTCCCTGCTGACTCTCTCCTGATGTGTAGAATGATATTAAATGAAGTAGTCACAGCACGTTCAGGCTGCTGTTGAAGACGAAAATCAAGCAAACAAAAACAACTATTGCAAGCTCCACCAATCTGAAGAAAGACAACTGCTCTTCAATATGATAGGATGTGATTATTCTGGATAACTATTATTTTGAAAACTGACACCCAGAAGGGTACCAGGATGCCAACTCTGATAGCTCCTCCCTGCCCAGGGAGCACAGAAACTAGAGAGAGACCAATATGGCCTAGTTAGGATGTAGCAAGTCACCTATGGAGCAGGCTCTGGAGACAGACTAGCTCCACCACGGGCAAGGCACTTCAGCTCTTCACTTCCTCCATCCGAAGATTGGTATATTTCATAAGATTGCTGTGAAGAATAAATGAAAAGGCACAGGCAAATATTAGCTCAGTGCCTGGCTCAAACCGCATTAGCTAATGGAAAATTGGGAAGAGGAACATAAAAACGCTTCTGTAACGGCACCATCATTCTGAGTGATGTTTGTCCCTTTAGGCAGGATCAGATGGAGGGAAGAATATTTATGAACATTCTCAGCATGTATCTACCCCAAGACTCTCCTTATGAACCATTTATCACCATCAAGATGCAACTGGGCACCGTCTCCCTGGGTACTGTCTAGATTTTCTCCGATTTTTAATAACTCTATTCTAAACAAAGATTTAGTGTTCCATTTCCCCTGTCGCATAAACTAAGCTGCTGATTGCTGTGAGGTTTTATTTGCAACCTCTGACATCATTCCATTCTGTGGCTACATTACAGCTTTAGGACCTGGAGTCAAGGCAAGAAGCCAAGCACTGCCCTCTAGAGATGTAAAGAGAATTACATTTCCTCTGAATATCTTCCTCTACCCTAGAATGACTCAAGCCTATTTCTAGTTTTACGTATTAGTTCAGGCTGCTGTCGATGATGGAAAAAAAACCAACCAAACAAAATGGAACAAAACTGGCTTTTGTTTTGCAGCTTTTTCGCCCACAGCAAGAAATTCAGGACAGATTTATGACAAATTTTAAAATGCTGGCAATGGGAAAAATAATATAGAGATCTGGGTTGCTGATGAATTTCTATGTCTAGATTATTAAAGGGAAAAGAAGCTGAAGGTCTGACTGATTTGCTGACAAATTCTTAATTTTTAAAAATGAACTTAAGGAGTACAAGGCTGTTTTGTCACGTGGATATTTTGCTCAGTGGTGAAGTGGGGACTTTTATTGTAACCATCATCACCTGGATAGTATACATTGTACTCATTAATTTCTCATCCTTCATCCCGCTCCTATGCTCTCACCCTTCTGAATCTCCAATGTCAATTATTCTACTCTCTATGTCCATGTGTACACACTATTTAGCTTCCACTTATAAGTGATAATGTGTGGTGCTTGATTTTGCATTTCTGAGTTGTTTCACTTAAGATAGTGGCCTCCAGTTCCATCCATGTTGCTATAAAAGACATGATTTCATTCTTTTTTGTGGCTAAATAGTATTCCATTGTGTATATATACCACATTTTCTTTATCCAATCATCTGTTGATGAACATCTTTTTTTTTTTTTTTGAGATGGAGTCTCACTCTGTCGCCCAGGCTGGAGTGCAATGGAGCGATCTTGGCTCACTGCAACCTCTGCCTCCCAGGTTCAAGTGATTCTCCTGCCTCAGCCTCCCAAGTAGCTGTGATTACAGGCTCCCGCCACCACATGTAGCTGATTTTTGTATTTTGAGTAGAGACAGGGTTTCACCACGTTGGCCAGGCTGGTCTCAAACTCCTGACCTCAGGTGATCCACCCGCCTTGGCCTCCCAAAGTGCTGGGATTACATGCATAAGCCACCGCACCAGGCCTGTTGATGAATACTTTGATTCCACATCTTTGCTACTGTGAATTGTGCTATGATAAACATACAAAGGCACCTTTCTTTTTGATATAATGACTTCTTTTGCTATGCGTAGATACACAGTAGTGGGATTGCTGGATCGAATGGTAATTCTATTTTTAGTTCTTCGAGAAATCTCCACACTGTTTCCATAGAGGTTGTATTAACTTACATTCCCACCAACAGTGTATAAGGATTCCCTTTTCTCCATACCCTCACAAACATCTATTATTTTTTTAATTTTAAATAGTTATCTGAGGACTTGCCAAGGATCAGCCCTCTGCCTGGCGATAGGTTGCTCAGCCCTGTCCAGCCTCTGTGGCCGACCACACGCCACAGAGCATCCTGATGGGCTGCTCTGACTTCCTAGTTCAATCACACAGTTGATTTATGCAGTCAAAATTAAGTTAAATGATTGACTGAATGGTTCAACCGTTTGAAGAAAATCATCCTGAAAAAGCTGGATATTTATAGCTAATTATTCTTTGGAAGAGATCGATTTCTTTTTTTTTACAAAGTGGGCATATTGTTAGTGATGAACCCATGGAGCTGAGAGAGGCTTAATTAAGGTCTCAACAACTGTAGTCCACTGTCAAGAAGCTGTTATCAGGATAGTCATTTTATTGAAAACTCAAGTTATGGCCGGGCGCGGTGACTCACGCCTGTAATCCCAGCACTTTGGGAGGCCGAGGTGGGCGGATCACTAGATCAAGAGATGGAGACCATCCTGGCCAACATGGTGAAACCTCATCTCTACTAAAAATACAAAAAAATTAGCTGGGCATGGTGGCTTGTGCCTGTAATCCCAGCTACTTGGGAGGCTGAGGCAGGAGAATTGCTTGAACCTGGGAGGCAGAGGTTGCAGTGAACCGAGATTGTGCCACTGCACTTCAGCCTGGCAACAGAGTGAGACTCTGTCTCAAAAAAAACAACAGCAAAAAAACTCAAGTTATGTCAGTGGTTCCGTTCTCTCTCTTGCACTATGACATTTTGAAGTACGGGGGACTTTGGTGGGAGGGTTTGGGTTTCATACAATCCAAGGAGATGTTAGTTGTCCCTGTGTGGTCGATTGATAACAAGAGAAGCAATGCTAATTAATTATAGTGCTCGCTGTGCTCCAGGTACTGTTCTCAAGGCTTCATATGTCTACATGCATTTAAACCTCACGACAACCCATTTCACAGTAAGAAAACCGAGGTACAAAGAGATTAAGGGTCTTCAAGAAAGCTGATACAAGAATACTCAAAAATGAGTTTAATGTTTCATCTTCAGGAAGGATTATTTGCCAAGTGAAGCACTGGCAAGACTAGGCATTCCCTGTGGGTGGGGGCCAGGTCCTACTTGCCATGTGCTTGTCCTCCTCTTTCTGCCTAGGTGTTTTGGGTTTCAAAATAAAAATAAGAATTAGGAGAAGCACGTAATTACACCAGAAAAGTATTTTTCTTTCTTTCCTTTTTTTTTTTTTTTTTGAGATGGAGTCTCATTCTGTCACCCAGGCTGGAGTGCAGTAGCGCAATCTCGGCTCACTGCAACCTCTGCCTCCTGGGTTCAAGCAATTCTCCTGCCTCAGCCTCCCGAGTAGCTGGTACAGGAGCACGCCACTATGCCTGGCTAATTTTTTATTTTTAGTAGAGATAGAGTTTCACCATCTTGGCCAGGATGGTCTTGAACTCATGACCTCAGGTGATCTGCCCACCTCAGCCTCCTAAAGTGCTGTGATTACAGGCATGAGCCACCACGCCCAGACTTTTATTTCTTATTTTGTCAAAATTAGTGAAAGGTGGTCATCAAAGAGAATGCAGTGATTGCGGGGGGGGGGGGGGGCGGAATCATTTTTAGCTAGGTCATGAGAGGCAGCATAAAGAGAGACAGAGTTTGGTGGGTTTTATTAGTGATGCGGAAACCAGCGCGGGTGTCTGATGGATGCTGTTGTCATCAGAATGGAGAGAGGAGAGACATTAGCACCGTTCTTTGCTGTAATTCAGAATAATTAATATGAGTTAGCTCAAGAAAGCTCAATTTATCATTTACAGATGCCCAGTTTGTTGTTTCCATGATTTTATAGAAATGTGAACAAGTATTTCTTTAATTTTCTTGACAAAGACAAAAGAACCTGCAACTGGGAGCAGCTCACATGCATCCAGTTAGCTGCTGATTTATATTCTGAGTTGCTGCAGGAAATTTAATTACTAGGAGCTCTAAGTTGATTTTGTTTCTGCCCTCAAGGTGAAATTTTTGTTACGGGGGATAGAAAATCAAGAATTGAATCTTGGGAGCTGAAAGCAGCCTCCTGCTCAGAAATGTGCTTACTCTCCCGCCCCTTCATTCCCACAGTGGGTGGTTTATACCACTTAACTTCTTGATGTCTTATTTTCCATGTCTACCACATGGGAATCATAATGCCTGCCAGAAGGAACATGACTAATTGAAGAGACAGGGGAGGATGTTAGAATCTTAGAGAACAGTTAGTTCAACTTTATTTCAAAATTAAGGATACTGATGAGGCAGCAGAATAGGGTCTGGAGGAAGGGAACCTAAGACTGATTTGAATCAAAAGGAAAACCCCACCACTCCACACCCAAGTAACAAAAGGATCAGAGGCTATTCCCTTTGCAGCCACCCCTCCCACTCCCCCCTCTCTTCCCACCCCCGCACACCGCCCACACCCCACACCTTTTCTCTGCATCACACAAGAGAAATGGAAAGTACCTCTGACTGGTCCCCTCCCGCAACCAATCACGCTGGTCAGGGGCCTAGTCTTCATTTGCATAGGGGTATAACTTTGTGACTTCACTTCAGCCTCTGATTGGTCACCCTCCCCAACCAATCAGACATTTGCATAGGGTATAATTTTGTAACTTCACTTTAGCCTCTGACTGGTCACAGGAGGCAACCAATCAGACTGGTTGTGGGCCACTATTTCATTTATGTAGGGTGTAAACATATAACCAATGGGAAACCTCTAGAGGGTATTTACACCCCAGAAAATTCTGTAACCAGCACTCTTGAGCTGCTTGCTTGAGCCTGCTCCCACTTTGTGGAGTATACTTTTGTTTCAATAAATCTGTCATTTTTCTTTCATTGCTTTGTTTGCGCATTTTGTCCAATTCTTTGTTCAAAACACCAAGAACCTGGACACCCTCCACTGGTAACACTGAGATGACAAAAGGGGAAGTGACTTGCAAGATCACAGAATAATGTCCCTTCATTCTTCCTTTCCTTCTTTCTTCCTTCCCTCCCTCCTTTCCTTTCTTCCTCCCTTTCACTGTAGTCAATGCTTCATCTTTTATAAGGATCTAAAAACTCTCTAAGGGACAATTATTCATTTGGCATCTTTGAATTCTAGCTAGAAGGAATTCACACAACAATTCTTGGCTTTATCTAGGCAAAGGAAAATCAACAGATAAAACCTTGAGTAGAGTAACTGGAGAATATTAATGGGAGGAATCTTAAAGGAATGGGGCCTGAGAGTGAAATGAGATGAAACAAATTGGAAATGCATATCAGTTATTTCTTGCAGTACTTTAATTTCATCATACTTTTTTAAGACAGTTGAAAATTATGCCAAAATGCCATCGTGGCTCCTCCTGACCTTCCTGCTTTCTGTCGTCTTAGCTTCTTAATGAGCAGTGAGGAAGTTGAGGTCATTCCAGTTTCAGTGGGTTGTATTTGATTCCCTTTTCAAATCCCTCGAAGAATCTATTCTTTTGACAAAACACTGGGCAAGACCTGAGTGACTGTATTTCCCTTTCAGGTTTGTAAAATAAACATCCCACCCCACTTAGGCAGAGGATATTAACAGAAATGTGCATATTAGCCATTAAGCTTGTTTTTATTTAGGAAGAGATGAAATAATAGGTAGAACAAATATTTCCTAATGGAAAATTTGCCTACAGCCATACTATGCTGAACATGCCTTATCTCTGAAGCTAAGCAGGGTCAGGCCTGGTTAGCCCTTGGATAGGAAGCTGACTGGGGAAGACTGGGTGATGTAGCCTTCAGTTTTTTTTTTTTTTTAATAAATAATTAGAAAAAGAAAATTTTTAAAAGTATAAATCTCAGGCTACTTTCCTTTACAGCCAAGTCATCAAATAATGGGAGGCATGGACAAGTGGATGGAATTTAGTGGGTTTCCATTTGTAGATTATAATTCATAAAACACATTTAGTCTTCAGAGTCTAGGAGAAACCCTGAAGTAGAGAAACGCTGTAAAAATGTTCAGAAAAGGGGGATCTTCCTCTTGCCCCAGAGAAATGTTTTTACTTCTGTGTGTTGCTTCTGATTCATTCCTTTGTGATTTAGAGCATTGCTCGCTGGACTTCTCCTCCTCAACAATGCCCTCCCTAGCAGCACTGCTTTTCCCACACATACGCCACAGCAGTGGGAGCAACAAGGGCAAGTCTAGCTTTTTGAAAGGAAACCTGACATCTAGATTCCCAGCACCATTGGTTCTCATAGCTTCCCTGTCTGTGAAGTTCCAGAAACATTGCAGAATGATGAAAGAAGACAGTGTTTCTCCTCTGGTCTGGACGACCACTGGGCTAGCCTGCAACCCTGAGTGCAATCGCTGCCCATCCAGAAAGTTTTATGTGTCTTAGTGGATAGAGCAAGGACTCAGGATTGATTTCCAGCTCTCCAGCCTTCTTGACTTTAGACAAGTCCCTTAATCTTTTGTGTTTGTAACTGACAAATTCCTTAGCATTTCTGTAAAGTGGGGTAGTAATGAAATGCATACGGTTGTTGGGATAATTAAATAATTTATTGTTTGTGTGTGTATACAGACATATGTATATATATGCATACGTACATATACAGACATTTATATCTGCACATAAATATATATATATGTATAATCAGCTTAGGACAATATCTGCTATGTAGAGTAACAGCATTTGCAATTATTAACAGCAGCAATATTATAACTGACCAGACATCAGGAGTTATGCTGAGGCACAAGAGCTGGAGTGCACACTTCTGCCATACCTTCTGCCACACCTACACTCTCCAGGAAAAGGGTCACGGACATGCAGTGACCTGCTGCACCCTGCATATGAAAATTACAAATGCACTTGCCATTCTCTGCTGCTGCCTGACTCAAACAGATTTCCCTTCCTTCTCTTTCTAATTTCAAGAGGAAACTTGCCCATCTACCTGTTTTCCATTTTTCAGCATTGGATGCTAGGAAAACAAATGCAGAGAGGCCTCATAGGATTATTGATGGAAAGATACTGGAGGTATAAAGTTATCTTCACTTGTAATAGGATGGGCCATTGGCATGAAAATAGTTAACAAGGCTGTCCCAAATACAATCCAGGGTCATGATTGAATCTCAGTTCATATTGTAACTTGGTCCTCCTTATCTCCATCATGACTTTGAGATCCACCCTCTCACTCTCCCAGGGTTTCTACTTTGCCCAGGGCTTTGGCCCAAAGATTAAGTACTTCTACCCTTTTGGAAGCATTAAAAAACATAACTTCCTCCTCCTTTCTACTTCTCACTGACTTACGCCTCCTGTGGCAGGAAGATTGACCTCCCTAGCGAGACGAAGGAATGAATTTAGCATGCAGAGCATTGGCTCTCCTTCTTTAGAGCAGCCTGTTTCCCTGAACTTGTTCCTCGGGGTGGGAGGGCGAGGGAGGAAAGAGCAGCCTGGTCTTTGACTGTTTTGTCCCTACCCTCCGTGGGGACATACACAACCTGCAGATTTGCAGCTGTGACTCCTTTAACTTTGGCAAGTTCATTTCTGAAAATAGAAGTAGGAGGCACAACTTTGACCACACATCTAACCTGCATTTTCCATTCTGGCTTCATGAGTAACTAACTGATAGTTTGTTCACCATGTCGCTCAACCTCATTCTCCTATGGCTGTTCCCATGAATTTGAATCAGGTGTGAACACTCCAAGGCACTTCCATTCTGCCTTCCATAAGCAAAACATTCAGTTAGAATTTTATAAAGGTGACATCGACCTTTGTGCTGTATCGTAATATACTCTTGACTTACACCTGTTGCTTGTAGACTGGTCGTATTTTTCATTTTAGTATTCACCATACCCTCCCCATAGTGCTTTGAATGGAGCAGCTGCTCAAGGTGTTCCAACGTCGTTTGAGAAATTGATATTCTAACCTCACAGTATGGGCATGAATATGGAAATACAACCGAGATGAACTGAATCCTTGTCTAATCCTTTTGTTAATTTCTAGAGCTAAACTCCCACAAAACACCCAAAGCACTACTCTGCTGAGGCTATGGTACCAGGTGTGTGTTTCTGTAGTGCATCTGACTCCTTTCAATACACATCCAACCAACCTCTCTTTCAAACTTCACGTGGGAATGCTTTAGAAAGTGTCAATATTCAAAAACAGGGTAAGATGTGAAATCTGGGAACCTTATGTAACAATTTCCCATTAAAGGGATCAATGTACTTGCAAAGTGATTGTCTCAAATCAATGTTTCAGTTAATGGAAGGAAGTCATCTTAAGTATCCGGGATGGGAGACAGTCCAATAGCTGCTTGGCAAATGGCTGGTTGAAGGCTATAAAATACAGAACATTTCACTGGGCTTGAACAGGGATAGGTGTGTGGGGCTGAGAAAACTTATGCAAGTAGTTTACTATTGTTTCCCCATGAATATAACCTGTGGAGTCCTAATGAGGAAAAAGAAGTCAGTCTGGCAGCAGCAGGGGAAAACAGAAAGAAAAAGGAGATAAGCTACAAATCTGCCTTTCTTCATGGTCCAGGACACATAGCCCTCCTGGGCAAATAACTCACAATCTTCCTATACCCAGCTATCATCAGACACTCAGCTGATTGGAAAATGCAAGTTAGCTCACTGTAACTTTGGCATTATCATTACTGTACGAAGCCCTCTCCAGCACACAGCACAAGTACCATCCTATAAAATCCCCAGTAACCCTTTATCTCTTTGCGCTCAGCTCTTCTCTTGCTGGCCTGCCCACTGCTTCCTTGCAACATACTTTCCTACTTTCTCTAATAAATCTGCCTTTCTTTACCTAAAACCGTCTTGGTAAATTCTTTTTTCCTCCCATGCTACTAGCTCCAGATAGTCGCTACCTGTGGCACAACCAATATTGTCTTAAAAAACAGCCACAATAATAACACGTTTTAGGGATATCCTATTTGGAACCAGATTGGCAATCTGATGGGGTGGAAATGTTTCCAGCAATCTTGTAGGGGGAAATGTGTTGAAGATTTTCCATTAGCCAGCCCAGTGTGGTTCGAACTTGCAAGATTCTTTGGGGAGAACCATCCTATAAAGTACAGCCAAGTGTACCATGAGCAGCAGGGCAATAGGATCCCATTGATCATAAACCTGGGCTGAGAGCATCTTCAAACATGCATCAAAGCCACAGAGACACTAAATACCAATGGCAGAGAAAGCTGCTCCTTAAGTATCACCTGATGGGAGAAATGAAAGTAATGCCACTGAATGTGGGGGAAAAAGAAAAGAAAAGGCCAGATGCTTTGTTTGCCCATTTGAAAATTCTCATTTGGATTGAAAATGAAAGTTTAATTATTCAGTTCTTTCCACATGCTTATGGGTTACTAAGACATGGCTGTCATCAATAATTTAAATGAATTAGATGTCTGAGGGTAGTTATAGCACAGAAAGCAGTCTGGTAACCAAACATTACCAGAACAATGTGTGCATACCACGTATAATTATCAAATGATAATTTTGCCAATCTTACAAGCAATGCAATTTTTATAAAAAGGTGACGACTGCTTAGTTCGTAGACTGGTATCCCAGATTTATAAATAATTTAATCCAATAATTAAATACTGAGCATCTCTCACATACAAGGCACTGTATTAAGAAGCAGGATAAACAATGAGCATGTCCTGATCCCTGAAATATATGGGTGTGCATGGGTGGTTGGGGGATGCAAGAGTGATGGCAGTTGGGAAAGGAGATTAAAAAAACAAGCATAAAATGAGTTATAAAACAAAGCAGAATCTGATAAGCAGCTTAGGGGAAATAGCACCAACATTCTGTAGGATTCAAGTAAGGGAAATATTGCATTAGATTAGAAGGGATTTTTTTTTTCAGAGTCACATTCTTTATTAGAAATCCCCTCGAAGAACACTGGAAGAAAATATATGATACAAAATAGTTTTTCAGGTAGAATACTATCCATCACTGACTATAGTAATTGCAAGAGATTTTATAAAGGTCCAATGCGGAAATAAAGCACATATTTTTCTGTAAACATATCAGCAACAGTTAACAAATATGATCCAGCATGCAAATTATAAAATGAAACTTCTCTCAACTGGTGGTCTGGAGAAAGGCCAATCTGCTCACGTGGGGCTACATCCCATATCCTCCAACAATTACTCCATTGCTGGAATTACCATCTTTTTCTTGGGGATGGTGCTGTATGAGCATCTCTGGGGAAAGAGTCTTTACACACACTGAAGGACCACACACCTGTGCCTCTTACTCCTACCTGCCAGGATTAAACCTCTCAGGGGCCACAACTGTGTAAGAACTAAATGGTTTGATATTATGAGCAAAGTTTGGTCTCCCTATCTCAAATTTCCTACTTTTTCTATTTTTCATGCTAATAAATTTAGGGTAGGCAGTCTTAGGACCTACTGTCAAATCTGACTCAAGCATGCTGTCACTTTTTGCAGACCTGAATGCTGGAGAGGGACACTGAAAATCTCATTGTTTGATTCATGTGACAACACTGCAAGGGTTTTCAGGTTTTCATGCTTATTATGGACACTTTCAAAACTTGTCAGTAACCCCAGGTCTGCCTGCAAATACTACTGTGTTATTTCACAAAGCAGATTTTTCTAAGGTGAAAATATGGTCTCAATTTCTGCTTTTGTTTTCAGTTAGGTTTTTTTTTTAATTTTTCTTTTTCAATTAGTAGCCTGCCATGAATTGCAACTTGTTTCATTCTTGAGAAATGCTTATATTGTTCCAATTCAGAAAATAAATTTCTCCTCTGCTTTTCCTCCTTCCTGGTCACTGCAAAAGATTCTTAGATGTGCATTTCACACCCCATGGCAGCGTCTTCAACTTGCTTTTCCAAGGGTTCAATGTAGCTCTCGAACTGCTTCCTGTGCTTAGCTGCAGCTTGTTCAATGGGCATCGGGGGTGATCTCAGTGGTCGAGGGAGACCCTATACTGGTGACACAGTAGCTCAGGATCCTTCTCACAGAACAGGGCCACATCTGACTTCCTGCACACGGGCTCCTCTCCCTGCAGTTTCCTTTTGCGCCTTGCAGTGGTGAGAAGCTGCTTAGCAATATCGGTCATGTGGCATAACTGGAAGTTCCTCTTGAGGTTCTTGTCAGGACAGTGCTGGAGGCAGACAGGACAGGGAGAGATGTCCTGTAATTCTTACCAGCATTGGTGGATGCAGGCACCTCAGATGTAGTGCCTGCAATCAGTGGTCATTGGGTGTCTCAGGTAGTCCAGACAGATGGAGCATCTGGCCTCTGCTTGCCGCTTGGCCAGGGATGCTACAGAGGCCATTGGCAGGGAAGATTTCTGTCTGAAGAGACTCTTCTGTAGGTGTGATTCTCCTGCAACTTAGGATCTTAGGATCTCTTGCAACTAGGAAAAGTGGAAGCTGATGACTCCTGGGTCTTTTCTCGCCTTCCTGGCAAGCAGTACCTAGAGGTACAGCCCCTACGTGTGCTTCTGCATTGCAGGAAAACAACCTATTCCATGGCCAGCATGATGCCATCTTGAAGTAAAACCACCATGAGGACCAATGTTTGACTCCTGCACACCAACGTGTTCGGCACAAGGTCTTTTGCAGCAAGATCTTCAAACAATGCCCATATCATAGATAATCCTACATAGATAACCCCTCATAAAGATGCTTATCTAACCTCCACAGTGGTTACAAGTTTTTGCAAGAAAGTCTGAGAGTTCCTGCTGCTTTCAGCTGAACATATTATATCCCAAAACCTTGCTATGTAAGGGATACTTTCTGAGGCTGGGCACTGTGGCTCATGCCTGTAATCCCAATACTTGGGGAGGCTGAGGCAGGTGGATCACTTGAGTCCAGGAGTTCGAGACCAGCCTGGGTTTAGTAGCCTTCTCTACTAAAAATACAAAAATTAGCCAGGCATGGTGGCATGTACTTGTAGTCTCAGCTACTCAGGTGGCAGAAATGGGAGGATCGCTTTAGCCCAGGGGGTTGAGGTTGCAGTGGGCCAGGATCACACCACCGCACTCCAGCTTGAGTAAAAGAGCAAGAACCTGTGTCCAAAAATGAATAAATAAATCAATAAAAGATATTTTCTGGAAGGTGGTGCAAGGACCCGCCACCATGGGGCCAACTGAGACATAGTTTCTGTTGCTACATCGTTAAATTTTTTTTTTTTCAGAGAAACTGGGTTTGTCAGCCTTTTTCTTTAGCCTCTCAGCCCCCTTGGCCTTAGAGGATGGGCTGCATAGACCTGATCACTGGGGAACATGCTTCCTTCCTGTTAGTTCCAGAGGGAGCCTCCAAGAGGAGCCACAGCTCACAGGTGATGGCATCTTTTCCTGTCATCTTCTTTTCCTGTATTTAATGATCCACCAGAATTGAAGGTCAGCTGTGGAGCCCTTGTGGTCAGGAGAGAAGCACAATTCCAAGTCCCTCTGTGGTTTCTGTGAACATTCCACTAAGGCCTTGGCTCTGTGCTGGGTGAGGAGCTGCCCTGTGTCTCTGAGGCTTGGGTAGTGCTATCAGCACTGCCCACCCTGAACAGCTGGCTCCTTCCTTTCTCACAGAGATGACTTGTCTTTGTAGATCCAGATCTGAAGACGCAACACAGCCTAAGTTCTCCTTTCACTGCTATGGTCAGAACCTGCTTGGTTTGGAATTACAATCCTGCAGGGAGTTTCCTTTCAAGGTCCCATTGGACAGACTCCAAATGCAACCACCCGCTGTAAAATGCCAGGCTCCCGATGACATTTTCCATCTTCCTCTCCGACTGCATCTTCTGTAAGGGGCATCCAAAATTTGACTCCTTGTCCCTGGTTCTCCACTCCTCCTACTTTTCCACTGAAACTCCTCTATCATTGATCTGATTTCTGACTCCATTGAATACTTTGAAAAGTCCGCGTCTTGTCTTTCTTAATCAGATAGATGGGTGCTTTGGGGACTGGTCTTGACCTCCTCCTCTTCCTCAGGCAGTTTTAATTCCTTCTATTCCCTAAAGAGGATATTTTCAGAATGTGTTTTTACGTCTGTTTTGTGAGTTTGCAAACTTATCCTGTAGTTCTCAGCCTCCACAGGCTCACATGAAGCAAGCAAGCTCTCAGTAGCAACATCTCTCCTTCCTCTGACCTCATTCTGGAAGTGGGGCCTCTGCAGAAATTTTGGAGAAGGGAAGGGGAAAGCTATGACTGAGCAATGCCAAGGCAGGTACAGGAGCAGCCTCCCCTAGAATGAATCAGAATTCTGCTTTTAAGGAGGACTAGATATGTAGTTTACAGAAATCCACCTGCTGCCTCTGACATTTTGTGAGTTCCTCAATAATCTTGCATCTCCACTTCCAGATTTGATCTTTCTTAGGTTCTTTATATTAATATATATAACATCTATTTCACATCCCATTCATTGACAGCTCATCCACTCATATATTCATTCAACAAAGTCACTGAGTGCTCACTGTCCTCAAGTCTGACCAGAAGCCTGGATCACAAGGACAGCAGCATATTCCTTGCCAGCTGGGATCTATGACACAGAGGGGAGAGAGAGGAACAGCAGAAAGGTTTTGGCCTCCTCTTCATGAAGACTTCATCTCCTCAGAGGACAGCTTAAGGCTTTTTCTTTTGTGGGGAGCATAAATGCCACCTGTACTCCAGAACTATCTGCTGTAAAAGGTTTTGAAAAGTAAAATGATATGTGCTGTATAAAAGAGAAAAGCCTTCTATGGTAGGATGGTTAAGAGGTGACTTCTCTGTTTGCCTTTCTAAAAGAAATCCTTCTTAATGGCTTTTTGATGAACCTTCTCAAATAGTCTACATAGATAAGAGCAGACATTTATCTGACTTACATGTGGCCTGTACAAAATATTCCCCTTTGTATATTTCCAAATGGGAGCAACGTACATATTCTACAACTGCCTATTTTTCCACTTAATTTTGTCCTATATCAGCACATATACTTTATATATTCTAAGATGTGTTGCCAATGCTAAGAAAAGGACTGAATGGGAAATCGTTAAATAGGATGGCTGTTTTCTAAGAACCTATAGCTATCCACTTCTTTACACTAATGTTTCCCTAGAAAGGATTTTTAACCTCTGGATCATGCGTGGAGTACAAATGCTGTAAGGTGTAGAGCTGTGTCTTTCTCTCTCTCTCTCTCTCTCTCTCTCTCTCTGTCTCTATCTCTCTGTCTCTCTGTCTGACAGAGTCCCTCTATGTTACCCAGGCAGGAGTGTACCTCTGCCTCCCATGTTCAAGCGATTCTCCTGCCTCAGCCTCTCAAGTAGCTGGAATTGCAGGCACCCACCACCATGTTGGCTGATTTTTAGTAGAGATGGGGTTTCACCATGTTGGCCAGGCTGCTCTTGAACTCCTGACCTCAAGTGATCTGCCTGCCTCGGCCTCCCAAAGTATTGGGATTACAGGCATGAGCCACCGTGCCTGGCCTCTTTTTTTTTTTTCTCTCTCTCTTTTTGAGACAGAGTCTCCCTTGGTTGCCCAGGCTGGAGTACAGTGGTGCCATCTCCGCTCACTGCAACCTCCATCTCCTAGGTTCAAGCGATTCTCCTGCCTCAGCCTCACAAGTAGCTGGAACTACAGGCACCTGCCACGACGCCAGCTATGTTTTTTTCTTTTTTTCTTTTTTCTTTTTTTGTATTTTTAGTAAAGGTGGGATTTCACCATACTGGCCAGGCTGGTCTTGAACTCCTGACCTCAAATGATCCACCTACCTCAGCATCTCAAAGTGCTGGGATTACAGAGATGAGCCACTGCACCCTGCTAGAGCTGTGTGTTTCTAAGGAGAGAGTCCATAGATAGGCTTTTGCCAAGTATTCTGTGATTAAAATAGCTAATAGTTTGATTGGTGAATGACTGGTGAATTAAGTGGATATGAAATCACCTCATGGAAGTGGTAAAATTTCAAACAAATCTTGAAGGATCTTAAAACCGTATTTATAGTTTCAACTGGCAGAGTCAGGAGGACATTCCCAGCAGAAAAACAGCATAAATAAAGGTCGGGAGGTGAGAAATATCAGAAATATAAACCCCGAGGAGGGAAAGTCCTGGTGAGTGGTCAGCTCCAGATGGCAAGGACTAGTACATTAAGGAGTGGGTGATTGTCCTTTATCTTAGGACTCAGAAATGTAGCTGCCTCAGGGACCAGAACAAACATACAATGTAAACACATGACTAGAGGGGGCTGATACTGAACCAGGAAGCATATGCCCCAAATGACGACATTCAAATTTTATATTTTATTTCTTTCCTTTTTTTTTTCCTTTTTTTTTGAGTCAGAGTCTTGATCTGTTGCCCAGGCTGGAATGCAGTGGCACGATCTTGGCTCACTACAACCTCCCCTGCCAGGTTCAAGCGATTCTCATGCCTCAGCCTCTCAAGTAGCGATTCTCATGCCTCAGCCTCTCAAGTAGCTGAGACTACAGGCTCCCGCCACCACGCCTGGCTAATTTTTATATTTTTAGTAGAGATGGAGTTTTGCCGTGTTGACCAGGCTGGTCTTGATTCCTGGCCTTAAGTGATCTGCCCACCTTGGCCTCCCAAAATGTTGGGATTACAGGTATGAGCCACCACACCCAGCCTCAAATTTTATTTTTTTAAAAAATATTATTAAACAAACCAAAATTTCTGCAGGCTGGGAGCCACCACACCCAGCCTCAAATTTTATTTTTTTTTTAAAATATTATTAAACAAACCAAAATTTCTGCAGGCTGGGTTGGCCCTCACACCATAAGTCAGCTTGGGGTATTAAGTGAAATAACATTACTCAATTTCTCTGAAGCTGAATTAGAAAGAAAAGAAACTAGAAGCAGAGTGTGGAAGAGATAATGAAGTCCCAAACCACAGACACACGAGGTAATTGTGGTAGCACCTGGGGAATGAATGGGTATGTGGGGATAGAGAATGAAAACAGGTTAGGTGCGTGGCTCATGCCTGTAATCCCAGCACTTTGGGAGGCTGAGGCGGGAGGATCACTTGAGGTCAGGGGTTTGAGACCAACCTGGCCAACATGGTGAAACCCCATCTCTTCTAAAAATACAAAAATTAGCTGGGTGTGGTGGCACGTGCCTGTGGTCCCAGCTATTCAGGAGGCTGAGGCAGGAGGATCACTTGAACCTGGGAGGCAGAGGTTGAAGTGAGCTGAGATTGCGCCACTGTACTCCAGCCTGGGTGACAGAGTGAAACCCTGTCTCAAAAATAAATAAATAAATAAAGAGAATGGAAAGAGACAAAGCTGACTCCTGGGTTTCTTAAGTGGGTGGCTTGAGTGAACAATGGACATAGAGAATCTGATGCAGCCATGGTGAGTTGTAGTACATTTGGGAACTCTAAACAGTGATATGAATATTAATGATAGTAGAAAGAGTAAACAAGAATTTGGGCTCTTACTGTTTTATAAGTTTTCTATGTATTAACTCACTGAGCCCTCAGAACAACTATGTTAGGTAGATATTAAAACTATTATTAGCCCACAGCTAACACATGGTGCAACTGAGGCCCAGAGCAGTTAACACCAAATGCTTAGTAAAGGATGGTACTAGAATGTGAACACAGAGCAGCTCCAGGATCCACACCCTCAGCCGCTATGCTCTGTATCCCCCTGGGTGGGTTGGTGACTCTGATCTAGGAGTTCAAGGCAGGGATCAGAGATGGTGACATAAACTTGAGAACCATCTCACAGAAATAAAGGCTGTCACTTCAAGAGTAGACAGTTTCCTCAGGAAGAATAGGTAGGCTCTTCAGGATGTTATTAGCACATTTGTCTATTAATATATGTCCCTCATTGAGGACAATGACCTTGTTTGTCTTACTGACTGCTGTATTTCCAGTACCTAGTATGTCGTGGATGTTTGATAAATATATGTTGAATAAGGGAATGAAATCCCAGGGAACACCATTATCTGAGGGAAGAACTCAGTATTTAAGAACCCACAACAAGAGACAAAGAAGAACTAATGAAAAGGATAGGAGATGAATGCAAAGATTCAGTGTCATAGATGATAAGAACTTTTTTTTAATTTTTAAAAATGGAGGACAATTTCAAGAAGACAGCAACATGGCCCATCCAACAGGAAGTCTCATAAAAGGAGCATTGAAAAGTCCACTTTTCTGTCTCGCCCTGTTGCCCAGGTTGGAGTACAGTGGCATGATCTTGTGTCACTGCAACCTCCGC
Source organism: Homo sapiens (assembly GCF_000001405.40). Classification (NCBI taxonomy): domain Eukaryota; kingdom Metazoa; phylum Chordata; class Mammalia; order Primates; family Hominidae; genus Homo; species Homo sapiens. The sequence goes on from NC_000001.11 coordinate 242,145,761, forward strand.
CTCCTGGGTTTAAGTGATTCTCTTGCCTCAGCCTCCTGAGTAGCTGGGATTATAGGCGCACACCAGCACCACACCCAGCTAATTTTTGTATTTTTAGTAGAGACAGGGTTTTGCCACATTGGCCAGGCTGGTCTCGAACTCCTGGCCTCAAGTGATCCACTCGCCTTGGCCTCCCAAAGTGTTGGGATTACAGGCGTGAGCCACCACACCCTGTCATTTGCCAATTTACTTAAAAGTACATAGGAAAGTTTTCTGTGTTTCTAAGAGACTGTTCTTAAAGTTGAGCAGGGGTCAGAGATGGAAAGTGGGGAGTCCCAGAGGAATTCATCAATCAAGCTGATTGATCATGATGTTATCATTATCAGTGTTGCTTACCAAGCTCAAGAGTAAAGGTGAAGCCAAGAAGGGAAAGTGAGTTTTTAAAGACTTCTTATTTGTGTGTTGTTACCCTTTGCTCACAGTTCGCTTTCTTTTCTTCTTCCTGGCATTAAACATTTCTCTTCACTCAGTTTTTAGCAATTCAGTAGACTTCACTTCCTGATTCCAAATGACCTTTTTAATTTGTAAATTAATAAAAAGATAATACAACCAGTAAGTAGCCTATGCCTGAACATTTAGATGAAAAGGTAGTGTGATTTTTCTATTGTTGATACATTATATTAGTACAAATACAGATAATGTAATAGTGAATACATCAAAGTCTATTTACCTAAAAAAACCCTACCTTAATTTTTATAAGAGAGATGGCTTCAATTTCCCCTTCTCAAATAATTTTAGGTTTTTTTCACAGCATGCCATACACTTGAAGAAATTTTTATAGAATGCCACAATTTTATAAGCACTAACAGGAACACTTCAGATGCTTTTTCTAGAGTTATTTTTATGACTCAGAAAAACAAAGATTCTATATATTAAAAAGTTCTTATATTAAAATGACAGCAAGAGCTGTGGAAGAAACATGGAGTAATTTATAAGAGCAGCTCGTCGATATTCACTGAGGTTACTCAAGCTTAGTGCAAGAGAATGCTAAAAACCAGCCACCTTTTGTCCTGTTACTGGTTTCATTTTCTCCATGGGAATCACGGACTCACAGGAAGCCTTTTCTAAAATTCTGTGCTGGGTAATTCAGAACCAACAGAGGCTCTGCATTGCTAAACAGTTCATGTATTCAAAACTAATGTTTAGGTGAGTGACAGTTTTTAAATCCATTACCATTAGAAAACCACAGGTTTTAAGAAAATTTTATTTTCCATTTATATTGAGGTACAATTGACATATAGTAAATTTCACCCTTTTAAGCACACAGTTCTTAGAATTTTGAAATACAGTTATGTAACCACCACCACAATCAAGATACACAACAGTGCCATCGGCCCCTAAAATTCCCCCATGCCTCTTTTGTAACCATCCCCTCTTCAAACCGCAGCCCTTGGCAACCACTAATCTGTTTTTCTTCCTGTAGTTTGGCTTTCTTAAGAATGTCGTATAAACTGAGTCATGGAGTAGGTAGCCCTTGGTATCCTGCTTCTTTCAGCTAGCATAATGCATGTGAGATCCATTCATGCTGTTGTGCAAAACAGTAGTTTGTTTCTTTTTATTGCTGAGTAAGGATTTTATTGTATGGAATGTACCAGTTTGTTTATCCATTCTCCAGTTGAGAAACATTTGGGTAGTTTTTAGTTCCTGGTGATGACAGATAAAGCTGCTGCAAACATTCATGTGCATATTTTCGTGAGGATGTAGTTTTCATTTCACTTGAGTAAATGCAAAGCAGTGAGATTGCTGGGTCATACAGTAAGTATATGTTTAACTTCTTAAGAATTTGCCAAACTTTTCCAGTGTGTCTGCACCATTTCCATTTCCACCAGCAGGTATATGTGAGTTTAAGTTGCTTTGTATACTTGCTGGAACTTGGTATTTTAATTTTTTTATGTTTTGAATATTTTAGTTATTCTAATAGCTGTGCATTGGTGCCACATTGTGGTTTTAATTTGCATTTCTTTAATGACTAATTTTGTTGAAGGTATTTATATACTGACTTGCTGTCTATGTGGGATGTGTCTGTTCACATATTTGGCACAGTTTTATTGGACTGTCTCTTTTCCTATTAAATTTTGAGAGTTTCATTGAGTTGGAGAATCTTACATATTCTGGATACAAACCCTTGACTAGAGATGTGATTTACAAATATTGCTGCTCAACCTTTGGCTTTTATTTTCATTTTCTCAGCAATTTATTCCAACAAACAGTACTTAATTTTGATAAAATTCAATGTATCCATCCTTTCCCTTATAGATCATGTTTTGAAAATTTTAAGCTAAGAAATCTTTGCCTAAGCCATGATCACAAATATTTTTCTCTTTGTTTTCTTCTGGAAATTATATAGTTTTAGTACTTATATTTAAGTCTATGGTCCATTTTGAATCGATTTTTGCATAAAGTATGAATCTAGATCATTTTCTTGCATATGTATATCCAATTGTTCTAGTAACACTTGTTGAAAATTAATCGGCTTTGCACCTTTGTTAAAAATCAATTGGCCATATATGTGTTGGTCTATTTCTGGACTCTATTTGCTTTCATTGGTCCATATGCCTATTCTTTCTATAGTATGACACTGTCTAAACTTAGTATAGTAGGTCAGAAAATCAGGTAGTATGAGTCCTCTGCCTTTCTTCTTCTATTTCAAAATTGTTGTAGCTGTTCTAATTCTTTGCCCTTTCTAAATAAATGTTAGAATCCATTTGTCAATTTTTGTGAAAGTCCTGAGGGGATTTTAGTTGGAATTGCATTGAACCTATTGCTCAGTTTGAGGGTAAGTAACATTATAACAATATAGCATTTTCTAAATGACAAATACAATATAATATCTCCATTTTAAAGTCTTTTTAAAATTCATTTGATGAGTGCTTTGTAGTTCTTTACATACTTTGTAAGATTCATACCTAAATATTTCATAGTTTTGATATTATTGTAAATAATACTGTCTTTTAAATTTCTAATTGCTCATGCTATTGGTTGGGAACATTGATTTTTGTCTATAGAAACACTGTATATAGAAAACATAACATTTCTACATACAGAAACATTAATTTTTGTATACTGATCTTATATCATAAAACTGTTCTAAACATACTTAGTTTTAGTAACTTTTTAATAGATTCTTTGGGAATTTTTACATAATCATGTCATCTGCAAATAGAGAGAGTTTTATTTCATCCTTTCCAAGTCTATGCCTTTTATTTCTTTTTCTTGCCTTACTACACTAGCTATGACTTCCAGTACAATGTGCAATAGGATTAGTGAGAACGTTGTTGCTGACCTTAAGGGGAAAGCATTTAGTCTTTTTCTATTAAATATAATGCTAGCTGTAGGTTTTACGCAGACGCTCTTTATCAGGTCAACAAAGATTCCTTTTAACTCTAGTTTTCTGAGAATACCAGAAATGAATGTTGAATTTTGCCAGAGTCTTTATTTGAACTCAATGTGATAATTTTACGGGTTTGCTTCTTTAGTCTTTTGATACAGTATTTTACACTGATTGTTCAATACTGAACTAGCCTTGCATTCCTGAGATAAACTCTACTTGATCATTTTTTATACATTGTTGCATTTAATTTGCTAGTATGTTATTGAGAACTTCCCATCCATGTTTATGACAGATACTCATCTTTCTTATAATGTGTTTGTCTCATTTTGGTATTTGGGAAATGCTGGCATCATAAGATGAGTTGGAAAGTGTTTTACTTTTTTTTTTTAATATTCTGGAAGAGTTTGTGGAGAATTGTTACTGTTTCTTCCTTAAATATTTAGAATTCATCAGTGAAACCATCTGAACCTGGAGTATTTTTTAATAGGAAGTATTTACTACATATTCAGTTCCTTCAGAAGACTTAAGTTTTATACACATACACACACACACACACACACACACACAGATTTAGTAGTTGATGTCTTTGAAAAAATTTATCTGTTTCATCTAAATCATCAAAGTTATGGCCATAGAGTTATTCATGGTTTCTCCTCTTATTTTTATAATGTCCTTAGGGTCTGTAGTGATGTCCCTTCTTGTATTCCTGATATTTATGATTTGTGTCTTCTCTCCTTTTTCTTTGGTCAGTCTGGCTATATGTTTGTCAACAGTGTTAATTTGTTCAAGAACTAGATTTTTATTTTATTATTGAGACCTTCATCCTAACATAAGCATCTTGTGTTATAAACTTCTTTCAAGGCACTGCTTTAGTTGCAACCAAAATTTTTGATATGCTCTATTTTTATCTTCACTCAAATCAAAATATTCAATTTCCCTAAGATTTCCTCTTCACACAATCAATATATGGGATATTGTCCAGATTTTTTTATTGATTTCTAGTTTTTTATTCATATATTCACAGATTGTATTCATTATAAGTACTTACTTTTTATAATTTCAATTTTTGAAATGTATAACATTTTATGACCAACAATATTGGCTCTCTTGAGATATGTTCCATATGTGCTTAAATATAATATCTGTTGTACTGTTTTGGGATACAGTGTTCTATAAACATTGGTTAGGTCAAGTTGTTGACAGTGTTTTCAAGTTTTCTATATCCTTACTGATTTTCTCTCTACTTGCTATCAATTACTATAAACTGAATGGTGAAGTCTTCAGTTATAATTGTGGGTTTGTTTATTTCTCCTTATACTATTATTTGTTTTTGCTTTATATATTTTAAAGCTCTCTTTTTAGATGCATATACATTTAGGATTATTATGGATTCTTGGAGAAATGACCCTTTTATCATCATGTAATGTTGCTCTTTATTTCTGGTAATAGTCTAGTCACTTTTCTGAAGTCTATTTTGATACTGTTATAGCTATTCCAACTTTCTTTCGACAAGTGGTAGCATAATAAATTTTTAGAATCTTTTCATTTTTAGCCTATTTATATTTAAAGTGGCTTTTTTGTGGACCATGCATAGTTGGGCCTCGCTTTTTTATCCAATCTGTCAATCTTTTTCTTTTATGTATGTTTACACCAATTATGTTTAATGTATTAATGACATGATTAGATTAAAATGTACTATTTTGAGGACTCTCTTCCATTTTTCCTCATCTATTTGTTGTTTCTTTTTAAGGTTTTTCTCCCTTCATTTAGATTTAGTATATTGTTCATTATTCCATTTCTGTCTCTATCCTCAGCTCATTCTTTATGCATTATTTAAAATTTTTAGTGGTTTGAGTTGTTGCCCTAGACTTTACAATATAGATTTTTAATTAATCAGAGTCCCTTCAAATAATACATACCACTTTATATATAATATAAGGACCTCACAACAATATACTTTCAATTCCTCCCTCCCATCCTTGGTATTATTGTCATATTTTACTTTTATGTATTCTAAAACATACAATATATTGTTATGTTTTCCTATAGACATCGGTTATCTTTTATAACAATTAAAATAAAAATATTTACTTTCATTTATTCTGTTTCCAGTGCTCTTCATTTTAACATTCAAGCTTCTTTCTGTGATCATATTCTTTATGCCTAAGGAACTTCCTTTAACATCTTATGTAGTGCAGCTCTGTTGGTAATACAGTTTCTTAATTTTTCTTAGAGAAAATTTTTGTTTTCTCCCTCATAACTTTTTTTCTAATTTTGGAAGAGTTTTTCACCAATTATAAAATTTGGGGTGGACACGGAGTTTTTTCCCCCAGCACTCTAAAGATATCATTTCATTGTTTTCTGGTTTGCAGAGCATCCCAAAAGTAGGCTCCTCTAACTCTTGTCAATATTCCTATATGTAATATATTTTTTCAGTTTTCCTGTTTGTCTTTGGATCTTTGGTTTTCCGCAGTTTGAATATGCCTAGTATTTGTTTCCTTACTTGTTTGCTTTGTGTATTCTAATGCTTGATGGTTTCTGAGCTTCTTGGATCTATGGTTTGCTGTCCATCATTAATTTTTGGAACATTCTAGGCTATTCAGACATTTCTTCTCAGTTACATAAATTACTCAAGTACATAAATTTTAATCCTTTTTACATTGTCTTTCAGCTTTGAATTCTGTTCTTGTATTTTTTTCTTTTTCTTTTCAAATTAAATGTTTTATTTTGAGATAATTTTAGACTCACAGGAAGCTGTAAGAAACAGCACAGAGAGATTCCTTGTACTTTTTACCCAGTTTCTCCCAGTGGTAACAACTTGAAAATCTATAGTATAAAATCCACACCTAGAATATTGACATTCACACATTCAATATGTAGAACTTTTTTTTTTTTCAGTGCTGCAAAGGTACAAAAATTTATTATCATGCAGTTTGTGGTTCAAAAGTTCAAGACTCATCTCCCTGGGATAAAATCAAGGTGTCAGCAGAATGGAACTCATTTCTGGAGGCTCTAGGGGATAATCCGTTTTCTTGCCGTTTCTGGGTTCTAGAGGCTGCTCACCTTCCCTGTCGCATGGCCTCTTCCTCCATCTTCAAAGTCAGCAGTAGTGGGTTCAGTTCTCATGCTGCCATTTCTCTGGTCCTTTTTGTCTAATTCCCTCTCCCAGTTTTAAGAACCCCTGTGGTTCCATTGGACCCATCTGTATAATTAGGATAATGTCCCTATTTTTTTTCTTATTACACTTTAAGTTCTGGGATACATGTACAGAATGTGCAGTATTGTTACATAGGTATACATGTGCCATGGTGGTTTGGTGCACCCATCAACCTGACACCTACATTAGGTATTTCTCCTAATGCTATCCCTCCCCTAGCCCCCTACCCCCTAACAGGCCCCAGTGTGTGATGTTTCCCTCCTTGTGTCCATGTGTTCTCATTGTTCAACTCCAAGTTATGAGTGAGAACATGTGATGTTTGGTTTTCTGTTCTTGTGTTAGTTTGTTGAGAATGATGGTTTCCAGCTTCATCCATGTGCCTGCAAAGGACATGAACTCATCCTTTTTTTGTGGCTGCGTAGTATTCCATGGTGTATATGTGTCACATTTTCTTTAACCAGTCTATCACTGATGGACATTTGGGTTGGTTCCAAGTCTTTGTTATGGTGAATAGTGCCACAATAAACATACGTGTGCATGTGTCTTTATAGTGGAATGATTTATAATCCTTTGGGTATATATCCAGTAATGGGATTGCTGGGTTAAATGGTATTTCTTGTTCTAGATCCTTGAGGAATCGCCACACTGTCTTCCACAATGGTTGAACTAATTTACACTCCCACCAACAGTGTAAAAGTGTTCCTATTTCTCCACATCCTCTCCAGCATCTGTTGTTTCCTGACTTTTTAATGATTACCATTCTAACTGGTGTGAGATGGTATCTCATTGTGGTTTTGATTTGTATTTCTCTAATGACCAGTGATGATGAGCATTTATTCATATGTTTGTTGTCTGCATAGATGTATTCTTTTGAGAAGTGTCTGTTCATATCCTTTGTCTACTTTTTGATGGTTTTTTTTTCTTGTAAATTTGTGGAAATTCTTTGTAGATTCTGGATATTAGCCCTTTGTCAGATGGATAGATTGCAAAAATTTTCTCCCATTCTGTAGGCTGCCTGTTCACTCTGATGATAGTTTCTTTTGCTGTGCAGGAGCTCTTTAGTTTAATTAGATCCCATTTGTCAATTTTGGCTTTTGTTTCCATTGCTTTTGGTGTTTTAGACATGAAGTCTTTGCCCATGCCTATGTCCTGAATGGTATCGCCTAGGTTTTCTTCTAGGGTTTTTATGGTTTTAGGTCTTATGTTTAACTCTTTAATCCATCTGGAGTTAATATTTGTATAAGGTGTAAGGAAGGGGTCCAGTTTCAGTTTTCTACATATATGGCTAGCCAGTTTTCCCAGCACCATTTATTAAATAGGGAATCCTTTCCCCATTGCTTGTTTGTGTCAGGTTTGTCACAGATCAGAGGGTTGTAGATGTGTGGTATTATTTCTGAGGCCTCTGTTCTGTTCCATTGGTCTATATCTCTGTTTTGGTACCAGTACCATGCTGTTTTGGTTACTGTAGCCTTGTAGTATAGTTTGAAGTCAGGTAGCCTGATGCCTCCAGCTTTATTCTTTTTGCTTAGGGTTATCTTGGCTATGTGGGCTCTTTTTTGGTTCCATATGAAGTTTAAAGTAGTTTTTTCCAATTTGGTGAAGAAAGTCAAGATTGATGGGGATAGCATTGAATCTATAAATTACTTTGGGCAGTATGGCCATTTTCATGATATTGATTCTTCCTATCCATGAGCATGGGATGTTTTTCCATTTGTTTGTGTCCTCTCTTATTTCCTTGAGCAGTGGTTTGTAGTTCTCCTTGAAGAGGTCCTTTACATCCCTTGTAAGTTGTATTCCCAGGTATTTAATTCTCTTTGAAGCAATTGTGAATGGGAGTTCACTCATGATTTGGCTGTTTGTCTGTTATTGGTGTATAAGAATTCTTGTGATTTTTGCACATTAATTTTGTATCCTGAGACTTTGCAGAAGTTGCTTATCAGCTTAAGGAGATTTTGGGCTGAGAAGATGGGGTTTTCCAAAGATACAATCATGTCATCTGTAAACAGAGACAATTGGACTTCCTCTCTTCCTATTTGAATACCCTTATTTCTTTTCTTGCCTGATTGCCCTGGCCAGGACTTCCAATACTATGTTGAATAGGAGTGGTGAGTGAGGGCATTCTTGTATTATGCCAGTTTTCAAAGGGAATGCTTCCAGTTTTTGCCCATTCAGAATGATATTGGCTGTGGGTTTGTCATAAATAGCTCTTATTATTTTGAGATACTTTCCGTCAATACCCAGTTTATTAACAGTTTTTTAGCACGAAGGGGTGTTGAATTTTGTCAAAGGCTTTTTCTGCATCTATTGAGATAATCATGTGGTTTCTGTCATTGGTTCTGTTTATGTAATGGATTACATTTATTGATTTGTGTATGTTGAACCAGTCTTGCATCTCAGGGATGAAGCTCACTTGGTCATGGTGGATAAGCTTTTTGATGTGCTGCTGGATTCGGTTTGCCAGTATTCTATTGAGGATTTTCACCTCGATGTTCATCAGTAATATTGGCCTGAAATTTTCATTTTTTTGTTTTGTCTCTGTCAGGTTTTGGTATAAGGATGATACTGGCCTCATAAAATGAGTTACGGAGGATTCCCTCTTTTTCTACTGTTTGGAATAGTTTCAGAAGGAATGGTACCAGCTCCTCTTTTTACCTCTGGTAGAATTCACTTGTGAATCCATCTGGTCCTGGACATTTTTTGGTGGGTAGGCTATTAATTATTGCCTCAATTTCAGAACTTGTTATTGATCTATTCAGGGATTTGGCTTCTTCCTAGTTTAGACTTGGGAGGGTGTATGTGTCCAGCAATTTATCCATTTCTTCTAGATTTTCTACTTTATTATTTGCGTAGAGCTGTTTATAGTATTCTCTGATGGTAACTTATATTTCTTTGAGATCCGTGGTGATATCCCCTGTATAATTTTTTTTGTGTGTCTATTTGATTCTTCTCTTTTCTGCTTTATTAGTCTGGCTAGTAGTTTATCTATTTTGCTGATCTTTTCAAAAAAACCAGATCCTGGATTCATTGATTTATTTGAAGAGTTTTTCGTGTCTCTATCTCCTTCAGTTCTGCTTTGATCATAGTTATTTCTTGTCTTCTGCTAGCTTTTGAATTTGTTTGCTCTTGCTTCTCTAGTTCTTTTAATTGTGATGTTAGGGTGTCAATTTTAGATCTTTCCTGCTTTCTCTTGTGGGCATTTAGTGCTATAAATTTCCCTCTCCACACTGCTTTCAATTTGTCCCAGAGATTCTGGTACATTGTGTCTTTGTTCTCATTGGTTTCCAAGACCATCTTTATTTCTGCCTTCATTTCATTATTTACCCAGTAGTCACTCAGGAGCAGGTTATTCAGTTTCTATGTAATTGTGTGGTTTTGAGTAAGTTTCTTAATCCTGAGTCCTAATTTGATTGCAGTGTTGTCTGAGAGACTGTTTATTAGGATTTCCATTCTTTTGCATTTGCTGAGGAGTGTTTTCATTCCATTTATGTGGTCAATTTTAGAATAAGTGCGATGAGGTGCTGAGAAGCATGTATATTCTGTTGATTTGGGTGGAGAGTTCTGTAGATGTCTAATTAGGTCTGCTTGGTCCAGAGCTGAGTTCAAGTCCTGAATATCCTTGTTAATTTTCTGTCTCATTGATCTGTCTAATTTTGACAGTTGGATGTTAAAGTTTCCCACTATTATTGTGTGGGAGTCTAAGTCTCTTTGTAGGTTTCTAAGAACTTGCTTTATGCATCTGGGTGTTCCTGTATTGGGTGCATATACGTTTAGGACAGTTAGCTCTTCTTGTTGCATTGATCCCTTTACCATTATGTAATGCCCCTCTTTGTCTCTTTTGATCTTTGTTGGTTTAAAGTCTGTTTTATTAGAGATTAGGATTGCAACTCCTGCTCTTTTTTTGCTTTCCATTTACTTGGTAAATATTCCTCCATCCCTTTATTTTGAGCCTATGTGTGTCTTTGTATGTGAGATGGGTCTCCTGAATACAGCAGACTGATAGGTCTTGACTCTTTATCCAATTTGCCAGTCTGTGTCTTTTAATTGGGGCATTTAGCCCATTTACATTTAAAGTTAATATTGTTATGTGTGAATTTGATCCTGTCATTATGATGCTAGCTGGTTAGTTTGCCCATTAGTTGATGCAATGTCTTCATAGTGTCAATGGTCTTTACAATTTGGTATGTTTTTGCAGTGGCTGGTACTGGGTGTTCCTTTCCTTGTTTAGTGCTTCTTGCAGGAGCTCCTGTAAGGCAGGCCTGGTGGTGATAAAATCTCTCAGCATTTGCTTGTCTGTAAAGGATTTTATTTCTCCCTTGCTTATGAAGCTTAGTTTGGCTGGATATGAAATTCTGGGTTGAAAATTATTTTCTTTAAGAATGTAGAATATTAGCCCCTACTCTCTTCTGGCTTGTAGGGTTTCTGCAGAGAGATATGCTGTTAGTCTGATGGGCTTCCCTTTGTGGGTAACCCAACTTTTCTCTCTGGCTGCCCTTAACATTTTTTACTTCACTTCAACCTTGGTTGAATGTGACAATTATGTGTCTTGTGTTTGCTCTGCTTGAGGAGTATCTTTGTGGTGGTCTCTGCATTTCCTGAATTTGAATGTTGGCCTGTCTTGCTAGGCTGGGGAAGTTCTCCTGGATGATAACCTGAAGAGTGTTTTCCAACTTGGTTCCATTCTCCCCGTCACTTTCAGGCACACCAATCAAACGTAGATTTGGTCTTTTCACATAGTTCCATATTTCTTGGAGGCTTTGTTCATTCCCTTTCATTCTTTTTTCTGTAATATTGTCTTCTAGCTTTATTTCATTAAGTTGATCTTCAATCTCTGATATCTTTACTTCCAATTGATCAATTCGGCTATTGATACTGTGTATGCTTCACAAAGTTCTCGTGCTATGTTTTTCAGCTCCATCAGGTCATCTATGTTCTTCTCTAAACTGGATATTCTAGTTAGCAATTCGTCTAACCTTTTCTCAAGGTTCTTAGCTTCCTTGCATTGGGTTAGAACATGCTCCTTTAGCTCGGAGAAGTTTGTTATTACCCACCTTCTGAAGCCTACTTATGTCAGTTCATCAAGCTCATTCTCTGTCCAGTTTTGCTCCCTTGCTGTTTAGGAGTTGTGTTCCTTTGGAGGAGAAGAGGTGTTCTGGTTTTTGGAATTCTCAGCCTTTTTGGACTGGTTTCTTCCAAACTTGGTGGATTTATCTAACTTTGGTCTTTGATGTTGGTGACCTTTGGATGGGGTCTCTGAGTGGACATGCTATTCCTTTCTGTTGGTTAGTTTTACTTCTAACAGGCCCCTCTGCTGCAGGTCTGCTGGAGTTTGCTGGAGGTCCACTCCAGACCCTGTTTGCCTGGGTATCACCAGCAGAGGCTGCAGAACAGCAAAGATTGCTGCCTGTTCTTTCCTCTGGAAGCTTCGTCTCTAAAGGCCACCTGCCAGTTGGAGCTCTCCTGGATGAGGTGTCTGGGAGGTGTCTCCCAGTCAGGATACATGGCGGTCAGGGACCTACTTGAGGAGGCAGTCTGACCCTTAGCAAAGCTCCAACGCTGTGCTGGGGGATCTGCTGCTCTCTTCAGAGCTGTCAGGCAGGGATGTTTAAGTCTGCTGAAGCTGTGCCCACAGCTGTCCCTTCCCCCAGGTGCCCTGTCCCAGGGGAGTTTTATCTATAAGTTCCTGACTGGGACTGTTGCCTTTTTTTCAGAGATGCCCTTCCCAGAGGAGAAATCTGGCAGTCTGGCCACAGCGGCCTTCCTGAGCTCTGGTGGGCTCCGCCCAGTTCAAACTTCTGGACAGCTTTGTTTGTTTACACCATGAGGGTAAAACCACCTAATCAAGCCTCAGCAATGGCAGACGCCCCTTCCCCCACCAAGCTCAAGCATCCCAGGTGGATCTGAGCCTCCTGGTATGCTGGCAGTGAGAATTTCAAGGCATTAGATCTTAGTTTGCTGGGTTTTGTTGGTGTGGGACCCGCTGAACCAGACCACTTGGCTCCCTGGCTTCAGCCTCCTTTCCAGGGGAGTCAAGAGTTCTGTCTCGCTGGCCTCCCAGGCACCACTGGGGTATAGAAAAAAAGTCTCCTGCAGCTGGTTCAGTGTCTGCTGGAATGGCTACCCAGGTTTCTGCTTGAAACCCAGGGCCCTGGTGGGGTAGGCACCAGAGGGAATCTCCTGGTCTGCGGGTTGCGAAGACCATGCATGGGAAAACCACAGTATCTGGGCCAGAGTGCATGGTTCCTCAGGCTCAGTCCCCCACAGCTTACCTTCGGTAGGGGAGAAAATTCCCCAACCTCTTGCACTTCCCGGGTGAGGCAATGCCCCACCCTGCTTCAGCTCACCCTCCATGGGCTGCACCCACTGTCCAACCAATCCCAGTGAGATGAAACAGGTAACTCAGTTGGAAATGCAGAAATCACCCGCTTTCTGTGTCAATCTCACTGGGAGCTGCAGACTGCAGCTGTTCCTATTCAGCCGTCTTGCCATCAGTCTCCTATTTTTTCTTTGTCCTTTCAGTTTGAGTCATTTCTATTGACCTACCTTCAAGTTTTTTGATTCTTCCCTCAACTGTGCCCACTCTACTGACGAACCTATTGAGAGAAAATCTTTATTTTCTTTTCCATTTGTTGCATTTCCATTTAATCCTTTCTCATATGTTTTAAATCTCTACTAAAATTAAGCATCAGTTTTAGCATGTTATCCACCTCTGCTATTAAAATCTTTTAATATATTGTAGTTTAAGTTTCTTGGATGCTAGTTTCAATATCTGTTTCATATTTGAGTCTAGTTGTGCTAATTGCTTTGTGTTTTTCTTAATATATTGATACGCCCCATGACTTTAAGGAAAGATGGACATCTTGTATAAGACAGTATAGACGAACGCAAATTTTTTTATGCTTGATAATAAGAATATATTTCTTTCTTCTAGGTGTTGGATATAGAAAGGTAAAAGTCATCTAGTTAAGATTTCAGTTGGGTTTGGGATTTGTTGCTGCTGTGATTACCTTTAGTGAATCAAGGATTTCAAATAACCCTAGTGTTGACCTTGTGTTTAGGGTGAGACACGGTTTGCAAGGTGTGTGTTGTCAGTGTCTGCTCCACCCTCAGGTTAGGTCTCTCCTTTGCACTGCACCTCAATGGTGGTCTAGTAATGTGTTTGCTCCTTTTCTGGCAAGAAAATGCTATGAATTTGTTATAGAAAAATCTTTGTTTTTCTGATTAAGCTTTACTGTTAGGCAGCCACTGTGTTTATGGTTCTCCGAGGTGGGGTACGGTTCTCCGAGGTGGGGCTTTCTCCGTGATCCCGCCCCAGACCTCCACCCATAGGTCTGTAATCACTGGGTATATCTGTCCCTACCCTCCAGGGTTGGAGGGCTTTCCGTGTCCTTCCCCCAGCTTCAATGGGTTTCTACCAGTAGCTTAATGTCAACAGACTTTGTTCTTTCTCTAGTAGTTTACCGTGAAGAAAGCTCCAGGTAGGATTTCATGCCTTTTCTGCAGCAGCTGCTATTCTTCAACCCCAAGTTTATGCAATGGAGATGGCTTTTATAGAAATTTTGCCAATTATTTTTGTGACAACTTGGTGAGGTCCATGGAGAAAACTCTAAGATTGGGTGCTATTTCTCCTTGTGTCTATATTCCAGAGAGGCTGCATATTCTTTTGGTAGACAACACTTGCTTTTAGCAATTCATTAAAAATATTAGCTGAATTCTTTTTTTTTCCCTTTTATTTTTTTTTGAGATAGATAGGGTCTTGCTTTGTCACCCAGGCTGAAATGCAGTGACACAGTCATGGTTCACTGCAGCCTCAACCTCTTGGGCTCAAGCAATACTCTTGCCTCAGCCTCCCAAGTAGCCAGAACCACAGGCATGTGCCACCACATCTGGCTAATTAATTTTTGTCTATTTTCTTTTTAGAGAGAGGGGACTCATTATGTTGCCTAGGCTGGTCTCAAACTCCTGGGCTCAAGTGACTTTCCCACCTCAGCCTCTCAAAGCATTGGGATTCTAGGCAGATGGCCCACAGGCTTTTAGAATCAGAAGTTAATATTTAGAAATAACTATTTGAAATCTCTCATATTAAAGGAGAAGTCAAGACCTAGAGAGATCACACCCCTAACTCAACCATCACTGAGTTGTTCAACATAACATTCCTGAGATAACAGGTGCATGTTAGAAGGGCAGAAAATTGGAAACAAACTAAATGGCCCCTAGGATGTGGTTAAATAAATGACAATATGTCCATGTAAGTGAATATGTTATTGAGCCTTTCATGATTTTATAGATAACTTTATTGACACTGGAAAATGTGTATTTTGGCCGAGTGTGGTGGCTCTCGCCTGTAATCCCAGCACTTTGGGAGCCTGAGGCAGGTGGATCATGAGGTCAGGAGTTTGAGACCAGCCTGGCCAACATGGTGAAACACCACCTCTACTAAAAATACAAAAACTAGCCGGGTGTGGTTGCACACGCCTGTAGTCCCAGCTACTCTGGAGGCTGAGGCAGGAGAATTGCTTGAATCCGGGAGATGGAGGTTGCAGTGAGCTTTGATCGAGCCACTGCACTCCAGCCTGAGCAACAGAGTGAGAATCCATCTCAAAAAATAATAATTAAAAAAAGTTTATTTCATGACTAAAGTGTAAACAGGAGATTATAAGATACTAGATACAATATGATTGCTTTTTAAGACAAAAGTAAACAATGGCAGCATATGGGGACTTATATTATCTTTTTTTATCAGTATTTTTAAGTTGGTACAATAATATTTACTGCATTGTAAATCATAAAATATTTTAATAGATAATTTTGTGCATTCTAGGTATAATCTATTAGTCTGTTCTTACGCTGCTAATAAAGACATACCTGAGACTAGGTAATTTATAAAGAAAAAGGCATTTAATGGACTCATAGTTGCACATGGCTGGGGATTCCACACAATCATGGCACAAGGCAGAGGAGGAGAAAGGCATGTCTTACATGGCAGCAGGCAAGAGCATGTGCAGGGGAACTCCCCTTTATAAAACCATCAGATCTCGTGAGACTTATTCACTACCATGAGAACAGCATGGGAAAGACCCGCCCTCCCACGAATTATGGGAGCTACAATATGAGATTTGGGTGGGGACACAAACCATATCATCTATTTACAGCTATATAGAAGTATATGTACCTGTGGGAACAGAAAAAAAAAATAGTATTAAAGTGGTTGAATTTGCAATGTATGTTTCTCTTTAAGTTTCCTATATTATAAAAATTAACATAATGTTTTGAGGAAAATATTCATTGTGAATATTTAAGTTTTGTCCAGAGGTCCTGAGTTGGATATGTGAAGTGAGATGCTCGTGAACACTGCAGATAAATTGATGCACACACAGTCACAGCAGTTGATTCTGACTTAGGAACATTTCACTCTCCTTTCCTTTGCTCATTTTGGTGGTGAAGATCTCGTCCAGAAGTAATATACGTCAAGAAAGAAGAGATTATAAATGTCTAGCAGGGACTGTTAGAAATATATTTGGTGCCCTTGATGATTTCTCAATCAAGACAGGGAACACTGAGGTACAACCACATAGAGCATCGGAGCTGCTACGGTAAAGGGGAAGGAGAGATTCCTACTCTGGTTGATGACACTGGATCCTTGCAAGCTGGACATCTCGGAACAACAGACACAGCTGTTCAACCTCAGAGGTGGGGCAAACACTGTAATCCTCTGCATGTTTCAAAGGCTAGTTATTGCCTATTTGGTAGGCAACAAAATAAATATTTGGCATACGTTTTTTTAAAGTATAAAATGAATTGAGTCAAGAAGTTGACATTTATTCAATTAACAAGTTGGGGTTGGAAGCTAAATTCTCCTTTAAATCTTACACAAAATGAAACTTCCAATTAAAATGTCAAAAGATTGACATCACAGAACGAAAGAACCAGGAACACTGGAAGCAGGAACCTTTGTTGTTTTTATTCAATAGGAAGGAACATTTCTTTCTCCTCCAGATAAACTGGAAGCTCTTTGCTGAGCATTGTCACTGCTAAAGTGCTTTTTCATTGTTACACTCCATCAGTCGTTTCTCCTTGGCAGGGTACTAATTTATCAGTTGAAAAGCCACTAGGCAATGACTACAACCATTACAGGAAGCAGGTCAATATGATTATTGTCAGTCACTCTGTAACCGAGAAACCTAAAATGCAAAGAAAATTGTGTAGCCCAAATCCCCAGGAAGCCAGTGTCTGCATTTATTGCCTAGATTTAGCTATTTTATTTTCTCAGTCCTGCAGACAACCTTAATGTATTAAAAAAAATTGCCCAGGGTTGAGATCTTAGTGATTGTCTACGCAGAATGTTACTGTATGTGTGGTTGAGTATTTCTAACAAACATTGAGTTCTAGCTTCTGCTTCTCTTTCACGATCAAAGCCGTGATGCTAAAAAGCTACGAGAAGTTTTTCCCTGGCTCAGTTATAATTTTAAAAATTTTGCAAAATGGTTCTCTGCTAAATTAGAATAGACAGACAGCTCCAGCCATGCCAGAATCACAAAGCATGTGCATTATTCTTAGGTTAGAAATATTTGGGGTGGAGGGTAGATGGTAGCATGGCAGCAGAATATTCTCTAACCCACCAAGATGGCGAATGTAAAAAAGAATATTAGCAATAATCAATACCATTCTTCACAAAAATAGTAGGCAGAAATCCTGCAGCTTTCATACCCAGTTCATACTAATATCTACAGGTGTTTATTAGTTTGTTCTGGTTCTGAATGTTATAAACATCTCAGGACTAGGTAAAGAATCAATTCATGGAAATGTCTGTGAAGAAAAAGAGGGAAAATACTTCCCTCAAGTCTTTTATTTTCTTTTCTTTTCTTTCTTTTCTTGAGACGACGGAGTCTCACTCTGTCACCCAGGCTGGAGTGCAGTGGCGCGATCTCGGCTCACTGCAAGCTCCGCCTCCCGGGTTCATGCCATTCTCCTGCCTCAGCCTCCCGAGTAGCTGGGACTACAGGCGCCCGCCACCACGCCCGGCTAATTTTTTGTATTTTTAGCACAGACGGGGTTTCACTGTGTTAGCCAGGATGGTCTCCATCTCCTGACCTCGTGATCCAGCTGCCTCGGCCTCCCAAAGTGCTGGGATTACAGGCGTGAGCCACTGCACCCAGCTTCCCTCAAGTCTTAATTGCTGTCATTGAGAAGAGAGAAATCCTGTGTGGATTTTATTGTAATTGAATTAGAATTCAAAGAACAAGAGAGGGACGGAAGGAAAGAGAAAGAGGTGGAAAGGATGTTTAATCATCATGTCAGAAAATAAATTCTTTCTAATAAATGTGAAATAGGACAATGATGTCACTGCTGTCCATTCATTCTATCTCCCAGCATTTTCCCTGTCTTTTTGTGTCTCAAGAATTTGGGCTGGGTTGACTAGGAATTCTCTACCATTCAGCAAAGTAAGGAGAGAAAGAAAAAGGTGAAAGGAGATGGAAAAGGAAATGGAAAGGAAGAAAGGAGAAGAGAAGATGATCAAAGAGCAGGATGAGCAGGGAGAGACGGGTAACAAGGGTCAGTCTCTTCACTGGAGAAAGGAAACAGTATCCTTTATTTCTTTTGGGTCTCCTAAAGAGAGAGTTATAAAATGTGTGTGTGTGTATATATATACATTCCAGCAGATGTGAATAAGCCTCCAGCTGTCTATAAGTGATTTCATCCTTCAATTCCTTAATTTTGGCAAAGTTAGTTTGAGGCTTTTTAGGGAGTCAATTTTGAAGACCATGTATGTGCAAAGGATAAGTGACTATCTGTGAAAGTCATTATCGTTATTTTTAAAGAGGCATTTGGGTAAAGGAAGTCAAACTCCTAATACCCAGCCATTGGTCATGCATCTGAATGCAGAAAAAAAAAAAAGAAATTCATGCAGTTGCATGCAATTATGGAAAGTGCAGAAAAACCATCTGTTCTTGGAAATAAAATCTTCCTCAACCCCACTGGATGTCAGAAGCCCAAGTGAATGTGGGGGAAGTGACTGTTAAAACTAATTTTGTATGTGAAAAGTATCTATGCTTTATCCAAACGAAACTGTACACCCCTGGAAGGTTCTATTAAATTTTTCCAGTGAATTGACAAATATTAAAAAAAAAAAAATCTCCAGTATTGTTCTTGAAGCATGACCAGTCTCCAGATTCACTGACGGGCCATGTTAATCATCAGTACATGGACATGTTATTTGCAAATGGAATTCAGGTCAAGAGCAAGACACTATAAGCAAAAAAGGAAAGGTTTTGAAATGCAATAATGTTATTTATCTGTTTTAACATGTAGAAGCAGAGCAAGCATCCAGTGAGTGAACAAATCTGACAGATGCAATGGGTTGACAACAGGTGTGGACAGAAAGGCTCCTCCCACGTCTACATTACCCCAGGAGTCTTCACTTTCACAACCTTCATTACACTACTTTTGGGAAACACTGCCTAAGTTATCTCACTTGAGCCTCCAATTATGTCTACAACTTAGTATACAGTTGCTTAGCACTTCTATACTTGATTTGTATGTGATTAATTTCCAAGTATTTACATGTTACTTGTAAATCTCTGAAGGTGCTTTTCTTTTATGAGTTTCCTGCTGCTCTGCCTAAAATGCAAATTGTTCATAACCTTCCACCCTTCCACAGACCACATGACTGTTTTCCCACCTGCCAGTATCTACCTGGCTTTAACAGAAAATTGATTATCTTACAAAAGCTTTTCCCTAAGGTGGAATAAAAACTCCACAGGGGATGATATAGTGGGGGTGAGAGGTCTCTCTCAGATGAAATAGCTTCCCACCTCTCCCCTTTTCACTTACATTCCTTTCACAGAAGAAAATTGTTCTTTTCTGAGAGGGAGCAAGAACAGGGCTTGATATTTTACTTAAGAAAAAAAAAAACTCAAGTGATCAAGGTTTGAACTGTGGTTACCATTATGCAGCCATATTTCTAGAACAAGCTACTTTTACCATCTTGAGATTTCAATGACCTTTTGCAAGAAAGCATCTTCTCCAGTGCAAGTTATAACTTTTATTTATGGGAAATTTAAAAAAGACTGTTCACATCCTTAGTCTGATAACTTTCATTTATGGGAAATTTAAAAAAGACTGTTCACATCCTTAGTCTGATAAATAGGTTGTGTGTGGCTTTAAAGGGAAAAAAAAAAAAAAACCTGCCAGCAACCAGTGGGATGTAAAATATAGACTATGAAAAAAAGCATGTCTCAAACCTTCACAATGGTAAACACTTGGAAACCAATGAACAACCCTTAGATTCTATTCTGACTGATAGGTGTGATTAAGGAAAAGATAAAAGCTGATGCTATTCTAAAATACAGTAAATTCTTATAATTTTATGTTGCCTTGGCATCCATTTTAAATGTAGGTTTAACTTTCTCATACCAAAAGCAGGGCTCGGTCATCCTTGATGCAATTTCCAGTGCTATACCACACCCAAATGGCTCATGCTGGTGGCCAGAGATGATGAGAACTCAGAAGCATCTCTGCCACCTACCTGACTGGGTTCCTCGTTTTCCCAGTGTGTCCTTTAAATGGACCATTCAGGCATTTACCTGGGAACTTAAAGTGACACACACCCTATTCCCTTGTACAAACTACTAGCTGCCATGCATTCTCCATCTCTGCCTGACTGTTCAGTCCTTCCTTGCATAACCCAGGGACGAAGCGCTGCCCCGCACCACACCCTGACCCATTATGCTGTCCTTGCTCAGGATCCGTAAGTAAAAATCTTTGAACTTGCTTCCTGTTGTGGTGGTGTATTGAATTTGCACCATCTGAAGAACCAGGGGCTATCCCAGGCTGGGTTTTCCCTGGGACACTGGGGAGAACACAAGGCTGGGCTCCCAGTGCCAGAGCTATGGTCAGGCAGGCATAAACTGGACATGGGTCAGACAAGAGCCACAAGGGCATCTGCCAGCATAAACAAGCTCCCTATATGAGAGACCCTCCTGGTCACAGGTGGGACAACTGGGCATTAGGCTGTCCTCCAGCCAAAAGAAGCGTTCCATAAAAGGCATACAGCAAACATCCACGTTCAGCTCCCCTTCATTTCCTGTTTAGGACAGGGTGGCTAGCCACTCTGGTGCTGAAACCCCAAGTTAGCTGGGCCCTCTCAAAACAACACTTGCCTCTATTTACCCATGTTCATGCACATGTGTGCATGTACACACATACACCCTGATGGGAGCACTGCATACCTCCAGGCTTTTCTCTTTGGCACAGATGCATCATTCGACTCCGAAACCCGAAACAAATCCCAAGATTATTAAAAGTGAATATGTCAAGGAAGACACTGATTTTATTCAGCAAGTGATTTTTCCACCTCTTTAGTTACTGACTCATTATACTCTCCTCGCATATCACTAATAGTTATGGAACCTTTAATAACTGCCTGACAAAGTTCTAACTAATTCACATATGTGATATCTCCTACATTTTACTTGAAGTTACTGACCAAATAGATGCTGACTGATAACATAGTTTTTCAGGAAGGAAGTTAACTTAGGGAAAATGGAGAAATTCATCCTTCTTTAAAATTCACAGACTAGTGATATATTTTATGAGCCACTGTAGTTAGTGGTATGATATGCTTCAATGTCCATTGAATTGAGCTGTACATGTAATTCTGTTACTGATAAAATGAAAGTTCCAAAGAATGAAGCCTAATTTGCCTTTATAAATTAGATTTACCATTATTCCTACTATAAAGTCATAGTCACTTGCTTTCTGGTAGCCTTTTGAGAGTGAGAGACAATAATAATAGTAATAATAATAATAATAATAATAATAATAATAATAATAAATAGTAGCCATGTTGGCTAGTTGGCTATAACAGGGTCCTGGATGGACACAGTGACTGTGATAGCAGCATTCACAGTGACAACTATAATAACTAACTTATTAGTTTGTTCTCATGCTGCTAATAAAGACATATCCAAGACTGGGTCATTTATAAAGAAAAAGAAGTTTAATGGACTAACAGTTCCACATGGCTGGGGAGGCCTCACAATCATGGCAGGGAGTGAAGGAGGAGCAAACGCACATCTTACATGGCAGCAGCCAAGAGAGAGCATGTGCGGGGGAACTGCCCTTTATGAAACCGTCAGATCTCATGAGACTTATTCATTATCATGAGAACAGCATGGGAAAAACCCATCTCTGTGATTCAATTACCTCCCACCAGGTCCCTTCCATGACATGTGGGGATTATGGGAGCTACAATTCAAGATGAGATTTGGGTGGGGACACAGCCAAACCATATCACTAACATTTATGGAACCTTTAATAACTGCCTGATAAAGTTCTAACTATTTCACATACATGATATTGTTAAGTCCTCACAAAAACACTGAGTATCAGGCTTTCATCCCCATTTTACAGAAGAGGCAATAAGGCACAGAGAGGTACAGAAACTTATCCAAAATCACACATCCAGTAAATACATCCATAGATGTGGATTGCCTACGTGAAAACAATGTGTGTCGTGCATCACGGCAGATGTAAAAACAAAATAATTTGGCATATATTAGACACCCTTTTGTGCAGAGATTTAGGTGGGCAATTTGCTCATTCACATGTGTTTACATTGCTGCATATAAATGATGAATGTTTGCTGGAGGAGGAAGTGGTTCCTCACCAGAGTGCACAACAAAATATACTGAGCAAGTATTTTCAAAATGCACATGCTGAGGTGCCACTGCAAATCAATGGAACCAGAATCTCCAGCATTTACAAAAACAAACACCTAGTGAGAATGATGCATCTTGATTAGGAACAGCTGGTCTTTTAATAATCTTATAGATGTTTGTTTATCCATGTCATCATAATGGTTAACAATCGCCTTTAAAGAAAGCCTTTAATTGAACACAAATAATACATTAATTGGACTAACAAATCAAACATGTATGTCTTTATACTACCAGGGTAATATGAACGTGTCAACAATGAAATTGTTTTCATTTAATGAATACTTTTTTGATTATTTAGTCTGGTAACTGTCAGCATATCAAAGAAGATGTGAAAAGAAGCACTTTGAAGCTACAAGAACTCCACTGCAGCCTAGGCAGTGGTGAGATGACAAAAATGTTTGGCCAAAATAGTTTTGGCAATAAGAGCTTTTCTTAAGTCCAAGTTTATAGTAATAAGTAAGAATATATATAATAATTCCTTATTAAACAGCACAAATTTAAGATTACAGTAATTTGGGGTTACAGAATACATTTCCACTATTTATGAAGTAAGAGGCTCTTAAAGGTTTTGGGGCATTCATCTTTAACTCAGTTAAAGGTACCAATATATTTTGAGTACCACTGATGATATGCAAACCAAGCTTGTTGGGAATGAGTTATTGGCTCATTAAAACAACAATCCGCTGCAAAACATCTGTTTGACAATTGGATCTGAGGCTGCTTTGATGTGGTATATGAAGTATGCGTTTTAAAATAGTAAAATAGCAGTTGTTTAAAGGTATTCTGTATGTCACACTTCACTCATTCACACAGCTTATCCATGACAGTTTTTAATTAATGAAGTTTTTTTTTTTTTTTTTTTTACCACCCCCCATGATTCCATTACTGAATGTTCAGAATGAACTTCAGGACCTCTGCTACTTATAAAGACAAAGAAAAGGGAGAAGAGAGAAGGCCCTAATAAATTTATGCCCACAACATACGTAATTAAGAATTTCAAATGACTCCATGGGGCTGGGAGTGCTTTAATTCCCCCATAAACAATGTATATTAACACTGAAAGGTCTTTCTTAATACACATGAAGCCTACCTTTCTCAGGCAACCATTAGTATCCCCCAAAACATGAAAAAAGGGTATGGCTGGAAAGATGGTCAAATAGGAACAGCTCTAGTCTGCAGCTCCCAGCAAGATCAACAAAGAAGGCAGGTGATTTCTGCATTTCCAACTGAGGTACCAGGTTCATCTCACTGGGAATGGTTGGACAGTGAGTGCAGCCCATGGAGGGTGAGCCAAAGTAGGGTGGGGTGTCACCTCACCTGGGAAGTGCAAGGGGTCGGGGAATTTTCTCCCCTACCCAAGGGAAGCCATGAGGGACTGAATCTGAGGAACCATGCACTCCAGCCCTGACACTGCACTTTTCCCATGGTCTTCAAAACCCGTAGACCAGGAGATACCCTCCAGTGCCTACCCCACAAGGGCCCTGGGTTTCTGGGTGACCATTCATGCAGACACTGAACTAGCTGCAAGATTTTTTTTTCCATACCCCAGTGGTGCCTGGAATGCCAGCGAGACAGAACTATTCACCCCCCTGCAAAGGAGGCTGAAGCCAGGGAGCCAAGTGGTCTGGTTCAGTGGGTCCTAACCCCATGGAGCCCAGCAAACTAACATCCACTGGCTTGAAATTGTTGCTGCCAGCACAGCAGCAGTCTGAGATCAACCTGGGATACTCCAGCTTCGTTGTGGGAGGGGAGTCCACCATTGCTGAGGCTTGAGTAGGTGGTATTACCCTCACGGTGTAAACAAAGCAGCCAGGAAGTTCGAACTGGGTGGAGCCCACCGCAGCTCAGCTAGGCTGCTATGGCCAGACTGCCTTTCTAGATATCTCCTCTCTGGGAAGGGCATCTCTGAAAAAAAGGCAGCAGCCCCAGTCAGGGACTTATAGATAAAACCCTCATCTCTCTGGGACAGAGCACCAGGGGGAAGGGGTGGCTGTGGGCACAGCTTCAACAGACTTAAACGCCCCTGCCCAATGGCTCTGAAGAGAGCAACAGACCTCTCAGCACAGGTTTGAGCTTTGCTAAAGGTCAGGCTGCCTCTTCAAGTTAGTCCTTGACTCTCATGTATTCTGACTGGAAGACAACTCCCAGGTGGGGCCAACAGACACCTCATGCATTAGAGCTCCAACTGGCATCTGGCATGTGCCCCTCTGGGATGAAGATTCAAGAAAAAAGAACAGGCAGCAATCTTTGCTGTTCTGCAGCCTCCGCTAGTGATAACCTAGGCAAACAGGGTCTGGAGTGGACCGCTAACAAACTCCAGCAGACCCACAGCAGAGGGGCCTGTTAGAAGGAAAACTAACAAAAAGGAATAGCATATCCACTCAAAACCCCATCAGAAGATCACCACCAACAAAAACCAAAGGTAGATAAATCCATGAAGATGGGGAGAAACCAGTGCAAAAATACTAAGTATTCCAAATCCCAGAACACCTCTTCTCCAAAGGATCACAACTCCTCAACAGCAAGGGAACAAAATGGGATGGAGAATGAGTTTGATGAATTGACATAAGTAGGCTTCAGAAGGTGGGTAATAACAAACTCCTCTGAGCTAAAGGAGCATGTTCTAACCCAATGCAAGGAAGCTAAGAATCTTGAAAAAAGGTTAGACAAATTGGTAACTAGAATAACCAGTTTAGAGAAGAATGTAAATGACCCGATGGAGCTGAAAAACACAGCGTGAGAACTTCGTGAAGCATACATGAGTATTAGTAGCCAAATCGATCAAGGGGAATAAAGGATATGAGAGATTAAAGATCAACTTAATGAAATAAAGCGAGAAAAAAGAATGAAAAGGAATGAAAAAGGCCTGCAGGAAATCCAGGACTATGTGAAAAGACCAAATCTACACTTGATTGGTGTACCTGAAAGTGACAGGGAGAATGGAACCAAGCTGGAAAACTCTTTAGGATATTATCCAGGAGAACTTCCCAACCTAGCAAGACAGGCCAACATTCAAATTTAGGAAATACAGAGAACACCACAAAGATACTCCTCGAGCAGAGCAACCCCAAGACACATAATCGTCAGATACAACAGGGTTGAAATGAGGGAAAAAATGTTAAGGGCAGCCAGAGAGAAAGGTCATGTTATCCACAAAGGGAAGCTCATCAGACTAACAGTAGATCTCTCTGCAGAAAGCCTACAAGCCAGAAGAGAGTGGGGGCCAATATTCAACATTCTTAAAAGAATTTTAAACTCAGAATTTCATATCCAGCCAAACAGAGCTTCATAACTGAAGGAGAAATAAAATCCTTTACAGACAAGCAAATGCTGAGAGATTTTGTCACCACCAGGCCTGCCTTACAGGAGCTCTTGAAGGAAGCACTAAACATGGAAAGGAACACCTGGTACTAGCTGGGTGTTTTGCAAAAACATACCAAATTGTAAAGACCATCGACACTAGGAAGAAACTGCATCTACTAATGGGCAAAATAATCAGCTAGCATCACAATGACAGGATCAAATTCATGCATAACAATATTAACCTTAAATGTAAACAGGCTAAAGACCCCAATTAAAAGATACAGACTGGAAAACTGGACAAAGAGTCAAGACCCATCAGTGTGCTGTATTCAGGAGACCCATCTCACATGGAAAAAACCACATAGGCTCAAAATAAAGAGAGGGAGGAATATTTACCAAGCAAATGGAAAGAAAAAAAAAAAGAGCAGGAGTTGCAATCCTAATCTCTAATAAAACAGACTTTAAACCAACAAAGATCAAAAAAGACAAAGAAGGGCATTACATAGTGGTAAAGGGATCAGTGCAACAAGAAGAGCTTATCATCATAAATATATATGCACCCAATACAGGAGCACCTAGATTCATAAAGCAAGTTCTAAGAGACCTACAAAGAGACAAAGACTCCCACACAATAATAGTGGGAGACTTGAACACCCCACTGTCAATATTAGACCAATGAGACAGAAAATCAACGAAGATATTCAGGACTTTAACTCCAAGCGGACCTAATAGACATCTACAGAACTCTCCACCCCAAATCAACAGAACATACATGCTTTGCAGCACCTCATTGCACTTATTCTAAAATTGACCACGTAATTGAAGGAAAACACTCCTCAGCAAATGCAAAAGAATGGAAATCATAACAGTCTCTCAGACCACAGTGCAATCAAATTAGAACTCAGAATTAAGAAATTCACTCAAAACTGCACAACTACATGGAAACTGAACAACCTGCTCCTGAATGACTACTGGGTAAATAACGAAATGAAGGCAGAAATAAAGATGTTCTTTGAAACCAATGAGAACAAAGACACAATGTACCAGAATCTCTGGGACACACTGAAAGTGGTGTGTAGAGGGAAACTGATAGCACTAAATGCCCATAAGAGAAAGCAGGGAAGATCTAAAATCGACACCCTAACATCACAATTAAAAGAACTAGAGAAGCAAGAGCAAACAAATTCAAAAGCTAGCAGAAGACAAGAAATAACTAAGATCAGAGTAGAAGTGAAGGCGATAGAGACACAAAAAACCCTTCAAAAAAATCAATGAATCCAGGAGCTGGATTTTTGAAAAGATCAACAAAATAGATAGACTTCTAGCCAAACAAATAAACAAGAAAATAGAGAAGAATCAAATAGACACAAGAAAAATGATAAAGGGGATATTACCACAGATCCCACAGAAATACAAACTACCATCAGAGAATACAATAAACACCTCTACGCATATAGACCAGAAAATCTAGAAGAAATGGATAAATTCCTGGACACATACACCCTCCCAAGTCTAAACCAGGAAGAAGTCAAATCCCTGAATAGACCAGTAACAAGTTCTGAATTGAGGCACTAATTAACAGCCTATCAAACAAAAAAAAAAGTCCAGGACCAGAGGGATTCACAGCCAAATTCTACCAGAGGTACAAAGAGGAGCTGGTACCATTCCTTCTGAAATTATTCCAAACAAGACAGGGATGCCCTCTCTCACCACTCCTATTCAACATAGTGTTGGAAGTTCTGGCCAGGGCAATCAGGCAGGAGAAAGAAATAAAGGGTATTCAATTAGGAAAAGAGGAAGTCAAATTGTCCCTGTTTGCAGATGACATGATTGTATATCTAGAAAACCCCATCGTCTCAGCCCAAAATCTCCTTAAGCTGATAAGCAACTTCAGTAAAGTCTCAGGATACAAAATCAAGGTGCAAAAATCACAAGCATTCCTCTATACCAATAACAGACAGAGAGCCAAATCATGAGTAAACTCCCATTCACAATTGCTTCAAAGAGAATAAAATACCTAGGAATCCAACTTACAAGGGATGTGAAGGACCTCTTCAAGGAGAACTACAAACCACTGTTCAACGAAATAAAAGAGGATACAAACAAATGGAAGAACATTCCATGCTCATGGATAGGAAGAATCAATATCGTGAAAATGGCCATACTGCCCAAGGTAATTTATAGATTCAATGCCATCCCCATCAAGCTACCAATGACTTTCTTCACAGAATTGGAAAAAATTAAAGTTCATATGGAACCAAAAAAGAGCCTGCATTGCCAAGACAATCCTAAGCCAAAAGTACAAAGCTGGAGGCATCATGCTACCTGACTTCAAACTATACTACAAGACTACAGTAACCAAAAATCAGCATGGTACTGGTACCAAAACAGAGATATAGACCAATGGAATAGAACAGAGCCCTCAGAAATAATACCACACATCTACAACCATCTGATCTTTGACAAACCTGACAAAAACAAGAAATGGGGAAAGGATTCCCTATTTAATAAATGGTGCTGGGAAAACTGGCTAGCCATATGTAGAAAGCTGAAACTGGATCCCTTCCTTACACCTTTTACAAAAGTTAATTCAAGATGGATTAAAGACTTAAATGTTAGATCTAAAACCATAAAAACCCTAGAAGAAAACCTAGGTAATACCATTCGGGACATAGGCATGGGCAAGAACTTCATGTCTAAAACACCAAAAGCAATGGCAACAAAAGCCAAAATGGACAAATGGGATCTAATTAAACTAAAGAGCTTCTGCACAGCAAAAGAAACTACCATCAGAGTGAACAGGCAACCTACAGAATGGGAGAAAATTTTTGCAATCTACTCATCTGACAAAGGGCTAATATCCAGAATCTACAAAGAACTCAGACAAATTTACAAGAAAAAAACAAACAACCCCATCAAAAAGTGGGTGAAGGATATGAACAGACACTTCTCAAAAGAAGACATTTATGCAGCCAACAGACACATGAAAAAATGCTCATCATCACTGGCCATCAGAGAATTGCAAATCAAAACCACAATGGGATACCACCTCACACCAGTTAGAATGGCGATCATTAAAAAGTCAGGAAACAACAGGTGCTGGAGAGGATGTGGAGAAATAGGAACACTTTTACACTGTTGGTGGGACTGTAAACTAGTTCAACCATTGTGGAAGTCAGTGTGGCGATTCCTCAGGGATCTAGAACTAGAAATACCATTTGACCCAGCCATCCCATTACTGGGTATGTACCCAAAGGATTATAAATCATGCTACTATAAAGACACATGCGCATGTATGTTTACTGTGGCACCATTCACAATAGCAAAGACTTGGAACCAACCCAAATGTCCATCAATGATAGATTGGATTAAGAAAACATGGCACATATACACCATGGAATACTATGCAGCCATAAAAAATGATGAGTTCATGTCCTTTGTAGGGACATGGATGAAGCTGGAAACCATCATTCTCAGCAAACTATCACAAGGACAAAAAACCAAACACCGCATGTTCTCACTCATAGGTGGGAACTGAACAATGAGAACACCTGGACATAGGAAGGGGAACGTCACACACCGGGGCCGGTCATGAGGTGGGGGGAGGGATAGCATTAGGAGATATACCTAATGTAAATGATGAGTTATTGGGTGCAGCATACCAACATGGCACATGTATACATATGTAACAAACCTGCACGTTGTGCACATGTACCCTAGAACTTAAAGTATAATAATAAAAAAAAACTATTCCAAACAATAGAAAAAGAGGGAATCCTCCCTAACTCATTTTATGAGGCCAGCATCATCCTGATACCAAAACCAGGCAGAGACACAGCAAAAAAAGAAAATTTCAGGCCAATATCCCTGATGAACATGGATGTGAAAATCCTCAATAAAATACTGACAAACCAAATCCAGCAGCATATGAAAAAGCGTATCCACCACGATCAAGTTGGCTTTGTCCCTAGGATGCATGGCTGGTTCAACATATGCAAATCAATAAATGTAATCCATCACATAAACAGAACCAATGACAAAAATCACGATTATCTCAATAGATGCAGAAAAGGCCTTCAACAAAATTCAACACCCCTTCATACTAAAAACTCTCAACAGACTAGGTATCAATAGAATGTATCTCAAAATAATAAGAGCTATTTATGATAAACCCACATCAATATCATCTGGAATGGGCAAAAACTGGAAGCATTCCCTTTGAAAACCAGCATAAGACAAGGATGCCTTCTCTCACTACTCCTATTCAGTATAGTATTGGAAGTTCTGGCCAGGACAATCAGGCAAGAGAAAGAAATAAAGCGTATTCAAATAGGAAGAGAGGAAATCAAATTGTCTCTGTTTGCAGATGACATGATTGTATATTTAGAAAATACCACTGTCTCAGTGCAAAATCTCCTTAAGCTGATAAGCAACTTCAGCAAAGTCTCAGGATACAAAATCAATGTGCAAATATCACAGGCATTCCTATACACCAATAATAGACAAACAGAGAGCCAAATCATGAGTGAACTCCCATTTGCAATTGCTACTAATGGAATAGAACTTACCAAGGGGTGTAAAGGACCTCTTCAAGGAGAACTACAAACCACTGCTCAAGGAAATAAGAGAGGACACAAACAAATGGAAAAACATCCCATGCTCATGGATGGGAAGAATCAATATCATGAAAATGGCCATACTGCCCAAAGTAATTTATAGATTCAATGTTATCCCCATCAAGCTACCATTGACTTTCTTCATAGAATCAGAAAAAACTGCTTTAAAGTTCATATGGAACCAAAAAAGAGCCCGCATAGCCAAGACAATCCTAAATAAAAAGAATAAAGCTGGAGGCATCATGCTACCTGACTTCAAACTATACTACAAAGCTACAGTAACAAAAACAGCATGGTACTGGTACCAAAACAGACATATAGAACAATGGAACAGAACAGAGCCCTCAGAAATAACACCACACATCTACAACCACCTGATCTTTGACAAATCTGACCCAAAGAAGCAATGGGGAAAGGATTCCCTATTTAATAAATGGTGTTGGGGAAACTGGCTAGCCATATGCAGAAAACTGACGCTGTACCCCTTCCTTATAGTTTATACAAAAATTAACTCAAGATGGATTAAAGACTTAAATGTAAGATGGAAAACCATAAAAATCCTAGAAGAAAACCTAGGCAATACCATTCAGGACATAGGTATGGGCAAAGACTTCATGTCTAAAGCACCAAAAACAATGGAAACAAAGCCAAATTTGACAAATGGGACTTAATTACACTAAAGAGCTTCTGCACAGCAAAATAAACTATCATCAGTGAACAGGCAACCTACAGAATGAGAGAAAATTTTTGCAATCTATCCATCTGACAAAGGGCTAATATCCAGCATCTACAAAGAACTTAAACAAATTTACAAGAAGAAAAACCATCAGAAAGTGTCCAAAGGATATGAACAGACACCTCTCAAAATAAGGCATTTCTGCAGCCAACAAACATATGAAAAAAGTTTATCATCACTGGTCATCAAATAAATGCAAATCAAAACCACAATGAGATACCATCTCATACCAGTTAGTATGGGGATAATTTAAAAGTCAGGAAACAACAGATGCTGGAGAGGATGTGGACAAATAGGAAAGCTTGCACACTGTTGGTGGGAGTGTAAATTAGTTCAATCATTGTGGAAGACAGTGTGGCAATTCCTCAAGGATCTAGAACCAGAAATACCATTTAACCCAACAATCCCATTACT
Organism: Homo sapiens; assembly: GCF_000001405.40. Taxonomy (NCBI): domain Eukaryota; kingdom Metazoa; phylum Chordata; class Mammalia; order Primates; family Hominidae; genus Homo; species Homo sapiens. Next base: position 242,177,073 of record NC_000001.11, read on the forward strand.
GGATATATACCCAAAGGATTATAAATCATTCTACTATAAAGACACATGTACACATATGTTTATTGCAGCACTGTTCACAGTAGCAACCCAAATGTCCATCAGTGATTGATAGACTGGATAAAGAAAATGTGGCACATATATACCATGGAATACTATGGAGCCATAAAAAATGATGAGTTCATGTTCTTTGCAGGCACATGGATGAAGCTGGAAACCACCATTCTCATCAAACTAACACAGGAACAGAAAACCAAACACCACATGTTCTCACTCATAAGTGAGAGTTGAACAATGAGAACAGACAGACACAGGGAGGGGAACAACACACACCGGGGCCTGTTGGGTGGTAGGGGGCTATGGGAGGGATAGCATTAGGAGAAATACCTAATGTAGGTGACGGGTTGATGGGTGCAGCAAACCACCATGGCACGTGTGTACCTATGTAACAAAACTGCACGTTTTGTACATGTACCCTAGAACTTATAAAAATAAAAAAAATTTGCACTGAAGAGCAAACAAAAACCACAACAATTCCAGGTAAATGCTTTTAAATTAGAGCAGGTCAACCTAATTGTTTTTTGCTTTTCAGACTGGCAACTCTTGAGAATCTCATAATTTTCCATAAAATCTATAAATAAGTATTCCTCTTTCAAAAGGAGTACAGGGCCCCCTCTGCTGGGATCCAGGAACAAGCTAGCAAGGCCTCCAGACAGGGGATTTCCACTGATCCTTTGTCACTACTGAGCCCAAAAGTGCACGGGCAGCAAGTTACCAAATCGCCTTCCACAAGGTCTACAAACCCATCTGGGACACATGGCAGGGACCAACACGGTGAGTCCGGTGCAAAGATTCAGGCTCTGACACTGGGGGCCCAGGCTGGATGCGAATTACTGGTCTTTTACCATTGGGCTGGTGCCCACTTCTTGAAATAGGTGAAATAAGTGCTAATCAACTGTCTGCATTTAGATAAAATGGCTTAATTGATAACAAATGTACACATTCCCTGAGCTATCCTTTGTGCTGACCAATGATTTCTAACAACCTACCAGGTTAAAGCTTATCCAGCATCTAGAACTATAATATCTTCACCCAGTCTCTATGTGCTGAAATGCTATTGTGATCGCCCATATATACACTTGCCATTTATATGTTCATTATAAACCTTTAGCTATTCCATCTTTCTGCATGTATTATTGGTGCTCTAACCTATCTTGTGTTCCAGCTTCTAGACTTCCCATGTTCCAAGTCCACTTCTGCCGGCAGAATAGAAACCTCGTCAGTTATCACAACTCAGTAAGTCCCAGCACAATGCACTTGCATTGCTCTCATCTATGGGGTCCCTCACTGTGTCCTGGAGAGAAATGAAGCTTTTATCATGAGAATTTTTCTTCACAAATCCATCATAAGGCTGTATTTTTCTTCCTAGGTGCTTTCCAATGACTACTCTGGTGCTGACTTTCCCAGGCTATTTTCAAAGCATAGGTTTTCAGGAAGACAAGATGGTGTTGTTGCAATGATTCTGTCGAGAGAGAAGGATGTTTGTATTATGCTGCCAGCTACAAATGCGTTAATTAACACTCAAATCACAATGTAGTCTCCACAGAATCCCAAGCTGCTGCCATGTTGCAGAATCTGTGTTATTATAGAATGAAACAAAAATGATGATTGACTTTAGAAAATAAGTACTACATTTCACCCTATCAAGAAGCCACTGATCCCTCCATATGTCTAGAAAGGACATAAACATGTTATATTTCAGGAAAATGGCTGGCTTTGTGTCTTTACATTCTACTCCAGTGCAAAGATACTTTGCTGTGGGACGGAAAACAATTTGAAGCTAATTATCAGAGTCCTCTTCAACACTGCAGTGTATCCAGAAATTACCCAGGGAACACGTAGACGGTTGCCAAGGGGGAGCTGAATATTCAGGGAACCCTGAAGAGAATATTTGAATTGTTATATCCAGTTGTTCATCTACTTGTTTTATGTAATTGCATGAGCAATCACTTGCAGGTGAGCCACTCATGCAGAGCAATGTGGGAGGTGATAGAGTGGCATGAGTGGGGCAATTACCTTCTCTCCTGGAGACTTTTATGGTGTAGATTTCTTGTGCCCCCAATCAAAACATTCCAAACCCTAGGGAAGCATCAGGACAGACCCTTAGCAAAATATCCCGTTATTTTCAACAAGGCAGTGAAATAATGAGGGCAAGGGGAGCAGACGGAGCATTCTGTTCTAGGGCAATCAAAGGAGGCCTTGTCTGCAGGGAATTTAAAAATAAATTCCAAAAGCTCTGTTGGTTTATCTGGTACCAGCAATTCTAAACAATGTCAGTGATTAAAGACTCTTTTGATAGGCAGAGGACTCGATTTCTTCCCACCCCTATTCTCTCAGTCCCTCACTGTCAGCCACTGCTGTGCTGCTGTGAAGATATTCAATGCTGTGTTACCCTTGTCTTCTTTGGATTTATCTGAGCCTGTGCTGCCCTGGGCTGTGGTTTCTAACCAGAGATCATTGTAGGTAGTATAGGTAGAATTGAGTGTGTATAGGCCAGGCACAGTGGCTCACGTCTGTAATCCCAGCATTTTGGGAGGCCGAGGCGGGCAGATCACTTGAGGTCAAAAGTTTGAGACCATCCTGGCCAGCAAGGTGAAACCCCATCTCTACTAAAAATACAAAAATTAGCCGGGCATGGTGGTGCATGGCAGTGGTCCCAGCTACTCGGGAGGCTGAGGTAGGAGAATTGCTTGAAGCCAGGAGGCGGAGGTTGCAGTGAGCTGAGATTTTGCCACTGCACTCCAGCCTAGGTGACAGAGTGAGACTCTGTCTCAAAACAAAACCAAAATTGAGTGTGTGTGTGTGTGTGTGTGTGTGTAGGGAGGACAGTTGATGGTTAACCTGTGAGCTATTTTCAGTGTTTCAAATATCATCACACTTTCAGTGCACACTCACTAAAATCTCGAGTGCTTTTGCTTTTAGTTTATTTAAACATAGCAGGGTAATGCTTATGCAGGGTAGTGAGTGGTACACACAGGCGTTGGGATCAGGCTGACCAAGGTGGGGTCCTGGCTGTGTCACCGACCAGATGTAAGCCCTGGGAAACTAGGGCACTCATTGTGAGATGTGGATATTCCTATATTTCAGCCTACCTTACAAAGAGCTAGAAGAGGGCTAGAGAAAATATGTGTAAAATATCAATATAGGGCTGAAGACACAGGAAATGCTCAATACATTGTAGCTTTTATTACATACTGACCAGAAATTATTATTGAAACTTATTTCAATAGTTGTATATATATGCATATATATCAATATATGTTTAATAATAGAATATCCTAGTAGGTTTCCATTTCCCTCCCTGTGGTATCAATGAAGAGAGGTGTGTTGAGTAATGATAGTGCCAAGCTATATTAGTTCCTTAAAAAATTGAATTAGAAAAAAAAATCAAAATATAAGGTCCATAGGGAAGATAACAATATTTTTGCTAGAGAAAGATGTTCTAAAATAGTGGTTCTCAAACTTGAATGTCCATAGGAATCACCTGGACGGCTTGTTAGAACTAAATTTCTGGCTCCAGAGTTTCTATTTAATAGGTCTGTGTTGGAACTCAAGGATTTGCCAGGTGGGGATGGGCGTGGTGGCTCATGCCTGTAATCCCAGCACTTTGGGAGACCAAGGCAGGAGGATCGCTTGAGCTCAGGAGTTTGAGATCAACCTGGGCAACATAGGGAGACCCTGTCTCTACAAATAATTTTGAAAAATTAACCAGGTGTTATGGTACATATCTATGTTCCCAGCTACTTGGGAAGCTGAGGCAGGAGGGTCACCTGAGCCCAGGAGGTCAAGGCTGCAGTGAGCTGAGATCATGCCACTGCACTCCAGCCTGGGTGACAGAGGAAGACTAGGTCTCAAAAAACAAACAAACAAACAAACAAACAAAAAAACACAAAAAACCCCACAAATTTCCCAGGTGGTAAAGCAGCTGCTGTCCCTGGTCTAAGGATCATGCTGAGAACCACTGTGCTAGAAGTCAGTGCTTCTAGACTTTAACATGCACACAAATCACCTGGGGTGATTTGAATTATTAAAATTTATCCTCTCATTCAATAGGTCGGAGGTAGGGCATGAGAATTCTGCATTTCTAACAAGCTCTCAAATGATGCCAATACTGCTGGTCTGCAGATCACACTTGCAGTAGCAAGGCGATGGGCCTGCTCTGTCTGATACAGTAGTGAAAAGCCACATGTAGCTATTGAACACTTAAAATGTGGCTAGACCCAATGGACAAATGTTTATATGTGTAAAATATACACTGGATTTAGGAGACTTAGTATCAATAATGTAAAATATATCGATAATTTTTAATATTGATGTGTTGGGTTAAATATTTTTTGGCTTTAAATTTTTTTTAACATGCAGAAGACTTAGCATAACATACATGGTCTCATTATATTTCTGTTGGATAGCACTGCTGTAGAGAACATTAAACATCCTCTGCCTCCTGAGCCCAACACTATTCTCGAAGCAGCTCCAATGAAGGGCTTTAAAGTACCACTGACTGCTTGTAAAAATGTCTCTTCAATGGTTTTTTTTTGTTTTGTTTTGTTTTGAGACAGAGTCTCACTCTGTCACCAGGCTGTAGTGCAGTGGCGAGATCTCGGCTCACTGCAACCACCTCCATCTCCCAGGTTCAAGTGATTTCTGGGACTCCAGGCACTCACCACCATGCCTAGCTAATTTTTGTATTTTTAGTAGAGATGGGGTTTCACCATGTTGGCCAGGACGGTCTCGATCTCTTGACCTCATGATCCACCTGCCCTGACCTCCCAAAGTGCTGGGAAAATACTTCTTTCATTAAATCAAAAATCTTCAGTGGTCCTTCACTGTAGAAAAGATAAACCTCAAACTTTTAAATTTAGCATCCCAGGCCACCCACAGTCTATACAATCTTCTTTGCCAATGTACATATAGTTGCTTCCCTAAAGACAGAGCTTGAAAGTATTTGCTGTTTGATTAATGATGATTCTGATCCATATTTTAAAGGGAGAACTCAGTTGGCCTTGCCTGACATCTGCCTCTCCTCTCACGCAGTTGTTCCCTGTAGATCTGGAAGCCCTGCAGCTCTGGGAGCTAGTGAATCCTCTCCCAGTGGCAAATAACTCACAACTGCTCTGTCATTCAGGTTAAACTCAACAAGTAAAACTTTCTGATACTTGGCCATGGGTATCCCTAAGACACCAAAGAAATTTTTTTTTAGTTTCTCCAGAGGCATTCGCCAAATTGGTGTGAGTTTTAAGTGGTTTTGAAAAAACTATTCTGAAATTATTTATACCTACCTCTATCTCTGTCTCTATCTGTATCATGTCCAGGGCTTATTCCCTACCTTTCCTTGCACCCCTTGATTACATGTCATCTTCACTTTGTGATGGTCTTTGTTCCCAAATTCCCAAATACAATCAAGGGCAAATAGAAAACCAGCTATAGCACTGGCAGGGCGCAGTGGCTCACGCTTGTAATTCCAGCACTTTGGGAGGCCGAGGCAGGTGGATCACTTGAGATCAGGAGTTCAAGATCAGCCTGGCCAACATGGCGAAAAACCATCTCTACTAAAAATACAAAAATTAGCCGGGCATGGTGGCACACGCCCGAAATCCCAGCTACTTGGGAGGCTGAGGCACAGGAATCTCTTGAACCCAGGAGACGGAGGTTGCAGTGAGGCAAGATCGCGCCACTGCACTCCAGCCTGGGCAACAGAGTGAGACTCTGTCTCAAAAAAATAAAACGAATAAATAAATAAAAATAAAAAAGCCAATCATAGTACCATCTAAAGAAAAGGAATGGTGGAGGTTTGAGTTCATGTTACTGTAACTTAGGTAAGAAACAACAGCAAAAGGAAAGTGGAATATTGATATAATTTCCACTAACTCCATCCCTAACTCAAGTATTCATTTCAAAACATCATTTGTAATCTCAACAAAGCTCTTACTCAAAATTATGAGCCTAGTAACATGTTATGTGTGTGTTTGGGTTATCTTAATCTTGCTTTATTAAAAGTATGATTTCTCCCACAGGCTTCTGAGGATGAGTTCAGACCCACCAGTTCTAGAGCAAATATATATCTTTTAAAATTTTAATAAGTATTGCTGGTGATAAATGGTAGCATGCTTTGCTTTACTATAGTTTGAGTATCTTATTAAGACATCATTCCTTGTTAAATATTTGTAATGTTATCCAATGACTGTCAAATATTATCAAGTGGGCTGTCTCTCAACTGGCCCTGTATAATCAAATCATCCCAGCCCCACATGGCTACCATAATGTATAATGCTTTATTTGTCAAATGCAATGAGAACCCACCGCCGGTCATGGTGCTTCCAAAAAGAGGAAATAAAGAGAGTAAGGGGAAAAGCAATTATTAGTACATCAGACTAGTTGGACTAGCTGAACTCGAAGGCAGAGGTTCTCAAATTTTCTTGGATCACAGTACCCTTCGTGTCTCAATTATTGTTTCATGACATCCCTAAGCCAAAACAAACACCTAGGCCGGGCGCGGTGGCTCACGCCTGTAATCCCAGCACTTTGGGAGGCCGAGGCAGGTGGATCATGAGGTCAGGAGATCCAGACCATCTTGGCTAACACGGTGAAACCCGTCTCTACTAAAAATACAAAAAATTAGGCAGGCGTGGTGGCGGGCCCCTGTAGTCCCAGCTACTGGGGAGGTCTGAGGCAGTAGAATGGCGTGAACCCGGGAGGCGGAGCTCGCAGTGAGCAGAGATCGCGCCACTGCACTCCAGCCTGGGCGACAGAGCGAGACTCCGTCTCAAAATAAATAAATAAATAAAAATAAATAAAAGAAACACCTAAGTTTGATTGTTTATGTAGTTAGGTCCAAATGACTTCATATTTATTTATATCCTAACAACTTTGTAGCTGTTTGAAAAAAGTTGTACGCATTAATTTTTCATTCCCACAGTTACGCACTAATGGGATGTGTGGACCTGTTCAGCACTGCACAGCTTTTCAAACCTTGGAATCGATTGCAAAGTGCTTCATTTCTTGTTCTACAAAGAGTTTTGCCTAACCCCTGCTTTCTGTTACAGCAAACACCAAAATCCTAGTTTCGCCATGAACACTGAAATTATGAACTACTTCAAAATAATAGCTTCCGTGGTGACCAGAGCAACAAATTTTACTAGGTTTGCCTTGAAGATTTGAAATATCCACAGCACCTACGTGAATTTGCTGTGGTGCCCCAGGCTCTACCTCACTGCACAGTTTGGAAACCACAGCTTTCAGTTGTCTTCTTTTTTTAAAATTATTTTTATTTTTTGAGATGGAGTCTTGCTCTGTCAACCAGGCTGGAGTGCAGTGGCGCGATCTCCACCTGCTGGGTTCAAGCAATTCTTGTGCCTCAGCCTTCCAAGTAGCTGGGGTTACAGGAGCCCACCGCAACGCCTGGTTAATTTTTGTATTTTTAGTAGAGACTGGGTTTTGCCCTGTCGGCCAGGCTAGTCTCGAACTCCTGTCCTCAAGTGATCCACCCACCTCAGCCTCCCAAAGTGCTGGGATTACAATGTGAGCTACCGTGCCCAGCCTCAGTTGTCTTCTGACTCTGAGAAGTTAAGATTCAACTGATTTTTAAACTTGAGGTTTGAAATTCCTTACTATCCACTTTTGGGACCCACTGCACTATCAGAGAAAAGCAAGAGTATCAGAAACACAGGTGACTGTGGATGGAAGAGCAGTAAGCAGTTGAAGTACTTTGCTGTTTTTCCCGTAGGGGAGGACAAATGGATTCCTGAGGTGCAGGGCAATCAACAGATGAGATCCAAGAGTCAGAACCCTGGAATGGACCACCAGAACTTTCCCATGGAGCCCCAGGACTTCTTCCCCCAATTCCTGCTGTTTCTCCTCCTCCCTGTAGCAGGCTTCTTAAAGCAGGTAGTTTGACCTGCTGAGCATCACATTGCATAAAACAATGCCGGAAGACTTGAGCAATGGTGACTTACCAAGACAGCTGGCTGCCTATGTTTATGGCATTTGGAATCCACCGGGAACACATACATTTGTCACAGTGTGTTCCCGAAATAAATGAGGCTGTCTCCCAACTGGCCCCATATAATCAACGCAGCCCAGCCCCACATAGCTACTCCAATGAATAATGCTTTGTTTGCCAAATGCAATGGGAACCTACCACAGGCCAGGGTGCTTCCAACAACAACAACAACAAGAAACTAAAGACAGTAAGGGAGAAAGAGTGGGTATAAGCACTTATCAATACATCAGACTGGAAACTCCTAGAATGGAATTATTAGATGCATGTATTATTTGGGAGCATTATGACCAGGAATATTAATAAAACTGTGAATAGTATGTATTCTTTTCATAATTTTGACTTAGGGAAGAGGGCAAAAAAATAACTGTAGCTAGTTTTAGACATCCATAAACAAAATTCTGTATTACTTTCAGGTAAGACAAGAGCAATGACAACACAGCACCACAAGCCTTGCCTGGGGTAGAGAGATATTATACAAGGGAAACTGTTTATTTGTTAGAGAATCATACTCATAATTCCCTTAAGAGTCTCTTAATTAATTCCCCTAATTAGAACTTTAATGGGTCTCCCTTTTCATTTTCTAACATCTTACACTGGCTACATCATTGAAATAGAATGAAAAGAATAAACCTCTCTGCTATTTTTTTTTAAGGTTGGCATTTTAAATTTGACATGAGAGTCTTTTACTATATTTTTTTTCTTGGACAGGATGAAAAAGCCTCACAGCTTGCGGTGTTGACAGTATTCTAGAAGACCCTACACCCCTGTGGCTTCTCGATGACTAATGTGGAGCCAGCATCTGTCAGCACAAACTCAGAGTGATTACCCAGAAATAGGTGCTTGGCAACAATCCCAATTCATTACCCATGTCCTAGCCCAGAGTGTGGAGGAAAAGTGATACCATCAATTTCTTGGCAATTATCCCATGACGGATCATTCAAGTATTTTAAATAAAATATCAATTCAATTTTAATATATTGGTTGCTCATATACTACAGGCTATAGGCACTATTCTGAATTCTGTAAGGAATGAAGAGAGATATATATATATATACTTTTTTTTTTCTTTTTTGAGATGGAGTCTCACTCTGTCACCCAGGCTGGAGTGCAGTGGTATAATCTCAGCTCACTGCAACCTCCACCTCCCGGGTTCAAGCGAACCTCCTGCCTCAGCCTCCCGAGTAGCTGGGATTGCAAGTGTCTGCCACCATGCCCAGTTAATTTTTGTACTTTTAGTAGAGATGGGGTTTCACCATGTTGGTCAGGCTGGTCTTGAACTCCTCACCTCAAGTGATCCACCCGCCTTGGCTTCCCCAAGTGCTGGGATTATAGGCATGAGCCACCATACCTGGCCTGGGCTGTAAGGAATATATTTTTTTTAAAGTTTCTTTAAAAAAAGGTATAGTCACTGGCCTTCCCAAAAAATGTTGAGAAATGAGAAACTATGCAGTTAAAACAAAGAGCAAAAGAGAGGTAAATGAGAGATACTGTATTTCAAGAATTTTCAAGAGAAAAAAAACAACTAGTGATTGACAAGCTATTAGTCTCTTCTATATTTTCTCATTCAATTTAATGTAATCTTCACAAAAGCCCCATAAGACAGTATAGTATAATCAACATTTTGCAGATGAAGAAACTAGGCTTTCAAAGATTATGCAGTTTAGTCATGGACGCAAAGGAATCTGAACTCATGGTTTTCTGATTCTAAAATCTATCCTATGTCCACATATACCTGAGGCAAATAAGCAAACAAACACCTCATCCACTTATTAAAATGAAGGCTTTAAGGAGGAGATAACATTCATCGTGAGATAGGTAGCTTCTTAAATTTTCAATTTTTCACTGATATAAAAGTAATACATGCATATTATCCTAGCATCAAAGGAGATTAAAATCAAATCTGAAATTAATCTTACAGGCATATCCACTATGGCAAACTCTGCCTATTGGTTGATCCAGCATCTGGCCACAACCCCTTCTCTCTAGCCAGAGACGGTCAGGTGGCAGCCAGTGAAATGTAAGAGAAGTGCCTAGGGGACCCCCATTCCTCAATAGAGTCAAAGTCTCAGCAGGAAAAATTGCTGTGTCTTCTCCCTCTTGTATCATTATCCTTCTCACTGCCTGCTACCTGGAACACAGATGAGAGACCTATGGGGTTTTCAGCCCCCTTTTGACCATGAGGCAACCAACATGAGGATAAAGGCAGAAAGACCCAGGGTCCTTGGTCGTTTCCTTGAGTCATCATAGCAGTCCTGAGCTGTTTACCCACTTCCTGTTGCATAAAACAACCAAACTGATATAATTAAGCCATTGTTCATTTTTGTTGTGTGCACTTGTGCATATTCATAACTGATATATGCACTATGAATATGCATATATTAATATACAAATATATAAATAAAAATCTATATGCAGATAGAATTTTGGAACTTGCATTTTTCATTAAATATTTCTGGAAGGCATATTTAATGCCTGCATCATGTTTCATTAAGTGCACGTAGAATAATTTTACCATTCTATTGTTAGATTCACAGGCTGTTCCCTTTTCTTTCCTTTTTAGCCATTATAAATAAATCTCCAGACATATGTCACTGTTTAAATCTCTGAGCACGTAATGGGTAGAAATGTCACCAGGCAGTATGAGAGGGGAAAGAATTCCATGTAAAGAGAGGAGTATGTGCAAAGACGTAAGAGATGAAATATGAATCTTGCCCAGAAAATAGGTAGAAATGTTATTTTGCTGGTGTACGGGGCCACAAAAGTTACAGTTAGAAATACAGATAGGAGTGAAACTGAGGAGAGCTTTGAATGTCACGCTGAAGAGTCACTAGAGGTTTCTGAGTGCTAGAGGGGTATGAGAAATTGAGGAACCTGAATGTGTGTGTGGAGTTCATGATTAACAAGGAGGGACTAGAAGCAGACAGACGTCATTAGGGGTGAATCAGTCCCAGAGTAGAGCACTGGGGGCACTCCCTAGGACACATATAAGTGGAAAGAGGACTAGAATTATGGGATGCAAAGTGAAGACTAAATATTCATCAGTTAGAAATCAACTGGATCACAGAGCGGCAAGAGGGAGGGCGGGAGAGAGAAGTTAAAGAGTTTTGAGATGAAGTGGCTGAAGAACAGAGTCAACTAACATCAATAGTAAATTAGGGAAGAAGCTATGAGGATAGGGGAAAGGGAGAAATTGCAGCCATGTTATTTTTAAGACAGAGATAAGGTTTCCCCATGAGTGTGCAGAAGGTAGAAGTTTGTGTCTGCAAATCAAATATCGAGTTGGGAAAGAACTTGGGCAAAGAGATAATGGATAAGACATCATTGGCACAGAGATAAGATTTGAAGTGGAGGCACTGGTGTGATGGTCCACATAAAATCGAAAGGAAAGAGAAGACTGTGACACAGAACCTAGAAAGCAGCTGCAGTTAGGAGGACTCCTGTACACTGTGGGCCACAGCTGGGTGGTCTCCGAGGATGACGAGTGATGGAAACCTGCAGAATGCAATCGCTTAAAGGCAACTATGGTTCACCGTGTAAATAGTATTTAGCTATTTTGAGAACTTGTTTGGAGTTTCTAGTAGGGGAGTGCAGCTACTCATACACCCTTGAATGAAGAACGGTCCTTCTCCGTTGCAGAAGGTTGTCCTCTTCAATTGAGTGTATATTAGCTATCTTGATATGGTGTTGCAGAAGTACTTCGTAATTCACACAGATTGAAGGTGCCAATTTCAATTATGAAAAGTTGCAAACTAACTACACTTTTGCGACTCTCAAGCACACAGACACACAGAAACTGGTTGTAGAGTATTTCCAAATAGACATCTTGGCTAGGGACCTAGAATTATATGCTTTAAACAAACAAACAAACAAAAAGAGATACTGGTTAGATTGTCATATGAAAAGAGAAGTGTCCTTTAAAATCAAAAGCATGAATTTGCAACAATAAAAAGAGAAGGGAGCATAACTGGTTTGACATAGTCTGTGGTAAGCAGGCAGCAAAGGACAGAGCATGTGGCTTTAGAATTTCAAGGCTCTGGGCCAGGTGTGGTGGCTCACGCCTGTAATCCCAGCACTTTGGGAGGCCAAGGCAGGTGAATCACAGGGTCAGGAGTTTGAGACCAGCCTGGCCAACATGGTGAAACCTCGTCTCTACTAAAAATACAAAAAATTAGCTGGGCGTAGTGGCGGGCACCTGTAATCCCAGTTATTGGGGAGGCTGAGGCAGGAGAATTGCTTGAACCCAGAAGGCAGAGGTTGCAGTGAGCTGAGATCATGCCACTGCACTCCAGCCTGGGTGACAGAGTGAGACTCCATCTCAAAAAAAAAAAAAAAAAAAAAAAGGATTTTAGAGCTCTGTCCACACTGGGCTGGGGTGTTCATCTGTCAGTCAGCAAGTATTTATTGAGAATCTTCCATGCGTCACTGTTCTAGACACATAGGGCCATACTATTGAACAAGAAAGAGAAAATCACTATCTTCAAGGAATTTAATTCTGGAAGAGAAAGACAAGCGATAAACAACTGCATCAGCTAACTTCAGGCACAGACACATGCTGAGAGGATAAAATTAGGTAATATGGCAGAGAGTGACTGGGTGGACAAGCTGGGGAGGTCAGTGCAGGCTGCTCTGAGGGGGCAGCACTGAGCACAGGCTAAATGATGGAACATATGGGAGAAGAACTATGCCAGCAGGAGGAATGGCCAATGCCAGGCCCCAAGAAGGGGGGCAAGCTTGGCATGTTCAAGGACCAGAAAGAAGGTCAGTGCCTCAGGAACACCATGAATGAGGGGGAATGTGGAAGAGGCTGAGGTCAAAGAGACAGCTCGGGAGCAGAGCTGCAGGAATGGAGTATATTGTGAAGATTCAATTGAAACTCAAATGTCACCCCTCTGCAGAGCTCTCCGTGGTCTCCCCAGGCAGCCTCGGCATCTCCTCCTTTACTTAGTGAAGGACCTTCACTAAGGTCCTTCACTCCCTCGGACCTTATCTGTATTTTCCTGACAGGACTCCTTTTTTTTTTTTTTTTTTTTTTTTTGAGACGGAGTCTCGCTCTGTCGCCCAGGCTGGAGTGCAGTGGCAGGATCTCTGCTCACCGCAAGCTCTGCCTCCTGGGTTCACGCCATTCTCCTATCTCAGCCTCCCAAGTAGCCGGGACTACAGGCACCTGCCACCACGCCCGGCTAATTTTTTTGTACTTTTAGTAGAGACGGGGTTTCACCATGTTAGCCAGGATGGTCTCGATCTCCTGACCGCGTGATCCGCCCACCTCGGCCTCCCAAAGTGCTGGGATTACAGGCGTGAGCCACCGCGCCCGGCCCATTGCAGGACTCCTTATGGACGAGGTGCTCCTCAGGGATGTGACTATCGTGTATTCTTCATGCTAGCACAAAGCAGAGTCCTCCGCATCACAAACACTCATTCAACATATGGGCCCTCGATGGAAACTTCCAGTTATCCATTTAAAAAATTAAGGCCAGGTGCAGTGGCTCACAGCTGTAACATCAGCACTTTGGGGGGCCGAGGTAGGGGGATCGCTTGAGCCCAGGAGTTGGAGATCAGGCTGGGCAACATGGCAAAACCTCATCTCTTAAAAAAATTAAAACAAACAAACAAAAAAAAAATAGAAAAATCCCATACAAGATGGCTATGTCTATTGTTACAGAATCCAGAGGAAGCTTTAGTCCAAGGAAGTTAAACGTCAATTGTGTTAGTAGCTTAGAAACAAGACAATCATGCACTGCTGGATTTTCAGAGGTTGATCAGAGGCAGCTCTGAGAAATGCTTTGGATCTGGTTTCACTTGTAATCTGTGATATGCCAGAGGAGATGAAAAGGGGACAAGTGACACAACCAATGGGGAAATACAGGGACAACACGTTGGTATAGAATGTACCAGCAATAATGAAATTAACACCCAAATGCAAGAGGAGGCTCCTTCTGAAAGGCTTTAATCAGTCATGGATCCCTGGAAAATCCCCAAGCCCAAATAAACTATGGAGTTTTTTTTTTTTTTTTTCCTTTGAGGATCTGTAAACATTCCACATACCTGCTTTTTTCAGTTAGGAGTAGGAAAACAAAATATAGTTTTAGAAACTACATTGTGTTATTTAGAAACTATAGTTTTGAGAAAGTTAAGAGAGTTTATTTAAAAGAAGGTATTTAAAAGAAGGAAAGAGGGCCAGGCACGGTGGCTCATGCCTATAATCCCAGCAGTTTAGAAGGCCATGGCAGGTGGATCACTTGAGGTCAGGAGTTTGAGACTAGCCTGGCCAACATGGTGAAACCCCATCTCTACTATAAACACAAAAGTTAGCCAGGTGTGGTGGTGCATGCCTGTAATCCCAGCTACTCGGGAGGCTGAGGCAGGAAAATCGCTTGAACCCAGGACGGGGAAGTTGCAGTGAGCCAAGACTGCGCCACTGCACTCCAGCCTGGGCAATGGAGCAAGAAGCTGTCTCGAGAAAAAAGAAAGAAAAACGAAGGAAAGAGGAAAAAACTCTGCAGAAAAAGGAACAAACCCAGATATGAGTAGAAGGAAAAGAAGTGAGAAAAGGTGGAAGGCAGATTAGGACAGATAGAATGCTAGACGTAAGAATGTAACCAAAATCAACAGACAGGAGAAAATGCAGACAGGACTTCAAGAAAGAAGAGGGAGAAAGAGTAACTGAGAGGGAAACAGAGGTACAGAGAGAATGAGGAGGGAAGGAGGGGGTACAGACTGGGGCGAAATAGGAGGGTGGTTGTGAGGTCTTGGGTGATAGAGCCAGTGGTGAAAGAAAGAAGAAAGAGTGAGACAGAAAAGAAAGACTCACTCTCTCCAGCACCTTCCCAGAAACAACTGACTGGCTTGGGCACTGCCAAACAGGCAGACAGCAGATGCGTAACCAGTATGGCTGTGCTAGGGTTAGGCAGCTGTCTACCTCCCTGAATAAGTCTCAGATTTATAAGCTAACAGAGGTCTCACCTCTGAGCTTCAAGCCTGTGTATATAACTGCCTAGTTGACGTTGCCTCTTAAATTTCTTGTAGGTATCCTTCTAATTAAAATATCTGACCATGTCCCCATCAGCCACTTGCCTCATTTGGGACACCACCAACCATCCTGCACGGCTGCCCATGTTTCTGTTTCTCCAGCCCAAGCATGCAGTTTCAGTAGGTCCTTCAGAGGCTGCCTGAAAGGTAGGTTGCAAACCCCTCCTCTTTTCTCACATCCACTTGTCACCATGCTGGCGAGAGTCTCCTTTCTGGTCACCCCTCATTCCCCTTCTTGTCCCCTTCTGCATATAGAGGCCAGAGTGACCTTACCTCTGTGCTTAGATATTTCTTAACTCTAATTTAAACCCTTCATTGCACTTCCAATAAAAGCTCCAAGAAGGATGGCTTCAGGGAGAAAAATAAAATAAATCCCTGCTGTGTCTTATCACAGCATGTTTGGGAAAAAAAACATTTTCCTCCAAAACACTTTTCCTCAAAAAAGTAGGAAAAGGTTCCTAAGAAACTAGACAAATGAGAAAGGATGGTAGTTTTAACTCTAGATCATGTAACACGGACAGAAGAGTTAGCGGAAGAGAAAACATGATTAGGTGGGTTTCCTGAAGTATTGAAGATGTTGAAGTTCTCGGGCAGGAAGAAGCGGGTGGGATGCAGACCACACAATTGCAAGGAGGTAAAATAATTTAGAAGAGGGAATGCTTGGGGTCTCTCTTCCTGCCCCTTCGGCCTACTGTATTGGTCTTAGTAACATTGGTGTTTTCTGGGGTAAGCCATGCTGGAAAAGCTCTCCGGGCCTTCTGCAAGCCACGTATTCTTCTTGGAATTCTCTCTCTGCCCCCACCCCAATACCCCTCTTCTCTCATAACTGAGCCTTGTCATGTTTAGGTCCCAGTACCACATCCTCAGAGAGATCTCCAACCACTGCAGTTGAAATTGATCCCTACCTCCTTTATCACAACACCCTGTTTATTCTATTCTATTTAGTCCATCTGTCACTGGACTTATTTTATTTCCTTGTTTTTCTTGTAGCCTGACTCTCCCTTAATACTGTAAGTTCACTCAAGGCAGGAGCTATATTTTATTATTGGTCTAGTTTGCTCTCCAATGTCTGGCATGCTATAGATAAAATGAGTAAGTCACTGAAGATAACGTAGAGAAAAGTAAAAATTTTTCACTGCTTCTCTTTTCTGGAAATTCTCATAAAATATCACATTGTTTAGGGAGAGACTGAGAATTCAGGGAGGATTTTCTTTGGCCGGGTTCTTGGAGTGGTGAGAGAAAAGGTGAAGATTTAGGGTGGCTTCAGAGAGTGCAATAAAGTCCCGTGGAGGAGGGTGGCCATGCACAGAGAGACTTCTCCACGGAGGGGTTCCCCTTGCCAAGGGCACACAGCTGGGGGCTGCTACTTCACAGTTTGACTACTTCTGGCATTGAGACAAAAGGAGGCATTTGTCTTGTTGTTCACTCCTTGTAGACCATGTTTGATCATCAGAACAACAGGTCATTATTCTCAGGGCCATTCATTAGGGTGTCATCTGTGTGAGGAATATCAGGTTCATTCTCCATAGACTGGAGCAGTTGCCTTGGTTTAGCCACATCTTAGCACATGTCCTTGGGCTGGCCATTCAGTGTTCCTGGATCTCAGCCCCAAATCTGTGACCCCAGGAGTCATAATGGCCCCTGTTTCCTTCAAGGGCTATGGGAGGATCAGATAAATTAATGCAAAAGTAAATGTTTTATAAACTAAGTGGAGACAATTGACAGGGATGATTATCCTTCCAAAGTCTTCACTGTCAGAATACATGCTGTAAAACTATTTCACCTACATTTTATCTTCCAAGGGGCTAACAAGCTGTGGAGCTACTTAGAAAAAACAAAATACATCTCTTGAATATTTAACCAAAAATAGCTCCTTGACCCATCCGCAGTGAGTTCTGGCCTTGGAGGTATAAGGCCACTGTCCCCATGGGCATTCTAGGTATGGCAGGAACAGGGGGAAACGCAAGCTCCCCTACCTGTCTGGTGTCACCAACCAAAAAGGTTGCCCTGGGAATGCCTCGTCCCAGACATCAGGCTTCTCATATTTCTGTTTTCTGATGGGATGGGCATCAGATACTCACAAGTTTTTAGGTATCTATTGCCATTATTTTGCTAGGGCCTATAAGTATGTGTGTTCTAGGGAATACCTCTACATTGCTGGTGGGAATGTAAACTAGTACAACCACTATGGAAAACAGTGTGGAGATTCCTTAAAGAACTAAAAGTAGAACTGCCATTTGATCCAGCAACTGCACTGCTGGGTATCTACCCAGAGGAAAAGAAGTCACTGTACGAAAAAGATACTCACACATACATGTTTACAGCAGCACCATTCACAATTGCAAAATCGTGGAACCAACCCTTCAATGCCCATCAATCAACAAGTGGATAAACTGTGAGCTATCTCTATATCTATCTATCTATCTATCTATCTATCTATCTATCTATGTATCTATCTATGTATCTATCTATCTATCTATCTATCTATCTATCTATCTATCTATCTATCTACCTATCTATGATAGAATACTACTCAGCCATAAAAAAGAATGAATTAATGCCATTCACAGCAAACTGGATGGGACTGGAGATTATTATTCTAAGTGAAGTAACTCAGGAATGGAAAACCAAACATCAGGCATTCTCACTCATAAGTGGGAGCCAAACTATGAGGATGCAAAGGCATAACAATGACAATAGAATTTGGGGACTCAGGAGGAAAGGGAGGGAAGCGGGTAAGGGATAAGAGACTACAAATTGGGTTCAGTGTATACTGCTCGGGAGATGGGTGCAGCAAAATCTCACGAATCATCACTAAAGAATTTACTCATGTAACCAAACACCACCTGTTCCCCAAAAACCTATGGAAATTAAAAATAAAAATAAAAAACAGAGATAACAAGGAAAAAAAGTATCTGTGTTCTAGAACTTGGATCAACAATGGAAGGGTTGGAGGCAGATTTGGGATCAATGTTGAGAAAGACTTTTCTAACAAAAAGAGAAACTCAGCAATATGCTTTTTAGGCAGAAGCGAGCCGCCGTCACCTAAATGTCCTGCAGGGGCTGGCCGTGGTACAGGACACTGTCCTGGAGAGTTCCGCATCTGGAGCGCTTTTGCTGCTGTCCTTTACCACCTCTGAGAAGTCTATGTGGGGTTTCTTGTCTCAGAGGGTAAAGAGAGCAGAGCTCCCCAAAATGCATCTCTTTCCCTCAGAAAATGTCCCAAGACCTTACCTACCTGCTCTTTTGTTTCTTCTACTTTGATGCTTATATTTTAACTGATGAAACATTCTTCTCTTTAACAATCTCGCTGTTTCTCTTAGGGCTAGATGTAAATGCCAAGTGACACAGAGAGCCTGACAATACTGACTAAAAATAACTTGAAAATAAAAACACTTAAGGCTGCCTTAAACATGGCATTTTCCATCTGTTTTGGATGCAGTGTCTGGCAGGCAATTTCAGAGTGAGAGCAGGATCAAAGGCCAGCTCCTCGGCCACTGCCATGGCTGTGTGTCTCTCTACATTTCAGGGAGGCTTGCATCTGGGGACCTCTACCCCATAGGGCAGTAACAGGAATTCAGGAAAATCTGCCTTCATCTCTCTCTCCAAGAAAAATGCCTCTGAGATCATGAATGTGAAATAAAGGGAGGAAGAGTTATCATCTTGTAAATCCTACCCTTTGTTCAAGGATTTAAGTTTAGAAATGGATAAATAAGGATTCAAAGGTAAGAGTTAACTCATGTAAACTCAAAGATGATTGAAATCCAAGTGACCGAGGTGAGGGGCTGAAGAGAAGAGGGGTCATGAACATTTGTCTTATGTAAGGGGGATGGACGGAAATAAATTAAATGAGAACCAGGCAGGCTTTGAGGTGGAGAATAAGATACTATAGGTTGTGAAAATGATCTGAACTATTTTTGTCGATATTGGTTTGGTTTGGGGTGAGGATTGGTAAAAGGCAAAAATGTTACCTAGACAGATGCAAGTGAATTAAAATGAATTTGACTTTCATATTTAAAAACAACAGCTAGAAGGTAAATAAAACCTTTGAATTTTCATTAACAAAACTGAAAATGTAGTGTCTGTGTTTACACATGGTGAAAGTATGCAGGAATTCCTGTGGAATCTTGCCCTCACGCGCTGTCGGTACATTATGGTGGGTCGGGAGTAGTGCCCTGTGGGGAAGGTGGAATCATCCCAACTCCATTTTACAACCGATACCCTGCAGGTGCAGGCTCGGATCGGCATTACTGTGGCACTTACTATTTAGGGGCTCAAGACATCAGAAAGGTATTTGATGATGGGCCCTCTATCTACATGATCAGGCCCTAAATATTTCTCATTGCAAGTATAGTTCTATCATGGTGTCTTACACACACACACAAAATGTATATACACACATATATAAATGCATACACATGTACATATACATGTACACACACATATATACTAAATGCTTCTGCTATTCACAATATATTGATTACAATTAAGTGACTCTTCAAATATAGCTATATTTAAATATATGTGCACACTGTACACTAACAAAGAAATACATTTAAGCAATGTGATGCCTCTAGAATAGAAATAGGAAGCCCTCCTTTGCCCTAACTCTGCTCCCTCTTCCACAGGTGATCACTGTGAACACACTGTGTTTGGTGTGTATCTTTCCAGACTCTTTTCCACCCACATCTGTATACACGCACATCTGTGTGCTCCTACATATTTGGGGACTTTCTTTGTTTACAGAAATGGGATGATGTATACCCCTTCAAGTATTATTATTATTTTTTAGAGACAGGGACTCACACTTTTCCCAGGCTGGACTCGAACTCCTGGGCTCAAGTGACCCTCCCACCTCAGCCTCCTGAGTAAATGCCCCCTCTCAAGTAGGAGGCATGCGGGCTGATGCTCACCCCTTGACTCAGTCTTGGGCTTCTTTCAGAGGATACGGGACAACGAGGAACCCAGGCCGAGGCCAGGTAATGAGCCAGCCTGGGGCAGCTCAGCCAGCCCAGGAGGGACCCTGCCTTCCTCCCCTTCCTTACTGCCACTGGACTTAGTTCAAGAACTCACCCTCACCCTGACCTATTTCTGCAGGACTTCCTAAATGGTTCCCTTATTCCAGTCTCAGCCTTTTCCAATCCATTTCCTGACAGCTGTCTCCTTTCTGACTAAAACCTTTCAAAGGTTTTCCATGAACTTGAAGGCTAAGTCCATGCTTCTCTGCATGACACCCAAGCCCCACAATGTCTCTGTCTTCTGTCTCCACTCATAGTTGGCATTGTATGTTCCAGCCACACAGGTGACTGACTGCCTTTTCTCTGAACCACAAACCACTTCACCTCTGTGCAAAGGAAAACCTTTCTCCCCTTTCTCCAACCAGTTCCTCTCCATGAATCCTTCCAGCTTCAGCTCAGATATCACCTCCTCTAAGAGACCACTTGTGACTTTCCCCTGATCTGAATTAATTGCACACTTTTTTTTTTTTTTTTTCTGAGACGGAGCCTTGCTCTGTCCCCCAGGCTGGAATGCAATGATGCGATCTCAGCTCACTGCAACCTCCGCCTCTCGGGTTCAAGCAATTCTCCCGCCTCAGCCTCCCAAGTATCTGGGATTACAGGTACCTGCCATTATGCCCGGCTAATTTTTGTATTTTTGCAAAGACGGGGTTTCGCCATGTTGGCCAGGCTGGTCTCGAACTCCTGACCTCATGTGATCTGCCCACCTCGGTCTCCCAAAGTGCTGGGATTACAGGTAATTACACACTTATTAAATTGTATTCTATATATACTCTTTACCTGCTTATGTTCTTAGTATAATGTGAGCTCTTGAAGGAAAACACCCTCGGCCTCACTGTAGCCCTACTGCTGCCAGTGGAGCCTGGTACAGAGCAGAGACTAAACAAATCCTTGCTGAATGAATGAATGAATGAATGAATGAATGAATAAATGAACCAATGGAAATAATAGGGAAATGATACTTGTAGCAGGGAAATGACACTAGTTTGCGGCAGGCCAAGTGTATTTTAGAGATGTTCCCTGCGGAAATCTCTTGGCAGATAAAGATTATAAGTGTTTGACTTCTGAGAATAACATCAGGATCATTTTATAAGAAGGCAGAGTCTAGTCTTTAAATTTGGAAGTAAAAATAAGCAATTTACATCAGTAGTGTGTGTTAAATGGCACGAAATGCTTTTGCAGCTTTCAAAGTCCTGAAACTCTTGCAGAACCAGAGACAACGTGACTTCTGCGGTAGAAGCAACTCCCCAGTGACCAGTCCTTCCAACTGAAATTGTTTTTTTTTATTTGCTATAAAAACTGCTGATCAGAGTAAAAACTTTAGCTCTTTGGGTTTGTGTATTAAATTAGAACAAAACAAAAAATATTCTGCTTTCTAATTAGAGAGAGAGGGACTCTCCCCAGACCTGTGCTAACAAGACTGCCACTAGTCACAGGTCACTACTGAGTCCTTGAAATGTTGGCATGTCTAAACTGAGATGTGCTGTGGGTGTCAAGTTACCACTGGATTCTGAAAAGTCCTTAGCAAAAAAAAAAAAAAAAAAAAAAAGTAAAATATCTCATTATTATTATTATTTTGAGATGGAGTTTCACTCGTTGCCCAGGCTGGAGTGCAGTGGCGCAGTCTCAGCTCACCGCAACCTCCACCTCCCGGGTTCAAGCGATTCTCCTGCCACAGCCTCCTGAGTAGCTGGGATTACAGGCATGTGCCACCACGCCCAGCTAATTTTGTATTTTTAGTACAGACGGGGTTTCTCCATGTTGGTCAGGCTGGTCTCGGACTCCCGATCTCAGGTGATCTGCCCGCCTCAGCTTCCCAAAGTGTTGGGATTATAGGCATGAGCCACTGTGCCCTGCCTCATTATTGTTTTGTATTGATGATATGTTAAAATGGTATTCAGGATATACTAAATTACAGAAAATATTGTGAAAATTAATTTTCCCTGTTTCTTTTTGCAATTTTATGTGGCGGTTGGAAAATTTTAGATTATATATGTGGCTCACATTCATGGCCTGGGCATATTCCTATCAGACAGCACTGCTTTATTTTTTTAAATGTTATTATTTTTAAAATTTGTATATATTTATGGGGTTTTTGAGACAGAATCTTGCTCTGTCACCTAGGCTGGAGTGCAGTGGCGCAATCTTGGCTCACTGCAATCTCTGCCTCCCAGGTTCAAGTGATTCTTCTGCCTCAGCCTCTTGAGTAGCTGGGATTACAGGCGCCCGCCACCACGCCCAGCTAATTTTTGTATTTTTAGAAGAGATGGTGTTTCACAATGTTGGCCAGGCTGTTCTTGAACTCCTGGCCTCAAGTGATCTGCCTGCCTCGGCCTCCCAAAGGTCTGGGATTACAGGGGTGAGCCATGGTGCCCAGCCAGTACAAGTACAATTTTGCTACACTGATTTATTGCACTGTGGTGAAATCACGGCCTTCAGTGTATCCACTGAAGGAACATGCAATGTACCCACCAAACAACTACCCACTATCCACCTCCCACCCCTCGAAGT
The DNA here is from genome assembly GCF_000001405.40 of Homo sapiens. NCBI lineage: Eukaryota > Metazoa > Chordata > Mammalia > Primates > Hominidae > Homo > Homo sapiens. The sequence continues at coordinate 242,199,687 of NC_000001.11, forward strand.
CCCCACTGTCCATCATTCCACACTCCGCCTCCATGTGTACACATTATTTGCCTCCCACTTATGAGTGAGAACATGCGGTGTTTGTCTATCTGTGTCTGAGTTGTTTCACTTAAGATAATGGCTTCTGGCTCCATCCATGTTGCTGCAAAAGACATGATTTCATTCTTTTTTTTCACAGATGAATAGTATTTCATCACGTATAAATACACCACATTTTCTTTATCCAGTCCTTCACTGATGGACACTTAAGCAGATTCCATATTCTGGCTATTATGAATACTGCTTGAGTGCTGCCTTAGAGATGCAAATTGCCCAGAGCTAAGAGTTTACTGCTCTGCAGAGGAAACCTTTAGGCCGTTTTGATGAACCATTCTCTAAAATGTTTAAGCACATTTCTTTTGTCCTGAATTGGAAGCAGTGAGTAAATGGACTTTTCCTTTTTCCTAAAGGGAAAGCCATAGTCATGCTGAAGGCCGGGGGCCTCTGGAGCTTGCTGCGAGGCACGAGGGGCTGGCTTATACTTGTTGGTACAGGAATACCTGAATTCCAAAATGCCTGCGTTGATTTCAATGGTCAGTGTGTTTATTCCTGCCTTGTGGACAGCTCTCACTTGTCTGGGCATGTTTTTCTCTCTGACTTGTGACTTCTTATCAGCCATGAGCTTGGAAATTAATTCAACCTGTGGTGAGTCTAAGACTAAAAAGATCTTCAATAAGGCCCTAGGAGTCTGCTCCGATGAGTAAAAGGCAGTAGCTTTGAGACGTCTTGGATGTGCTAGGTCTTTCTGCATACTTTTTGGTTCTTGGTTGAATTCCAGTTAAAGAAGGCTCTCAGCTATGGAAGCTCTAGATTTCTGGGGTACTGCTGTATATGTGGGATGTTACTATACATCTGTATCACTGATTCAGCCAATTATTAAGTACGAGAAACAGTGTGGCACAGGCAAAAAAAAAAAATGTGTTGCATAAACCCGAAGTTTGAGTACAAGTCCTAACTGTGGTGTTAACTGATGGAATAATTCCAGGACATTCTTCAATTAGCCTCTTGGAGACAGTCTCCTGATCTGTGAAATGAGGCTTCTGAAGCCTGTCCTGCATCTCACGCAGGGGTGCAAGTGAAGATTAAATGAATCAGGCTTCATGGAAAATTTCTAAAAAATACAAAGCTCTTACTAAAAATTATGAGTTTATTAACATGTTATGCGTGTGTTTGGTTATCTTAATCTTGCTTTATTATGAAATATGATTTCTCCCACAGGCTTCTGAGGATGAATTCAGAGCCACCAGTTCTAGAACAAATGTATCTAACACCTCAGGCAATTCAGAAGTGGATGAGTATTTTCAGGCAGTTCTTGCAGTCCAAATGTGGTACATTTAACTTTGACTAAACAACATAGAAATAATTTAGCAGTTGGTGGGTGGGGGTTAAGAAGGCCATGTTAAAACGGGGCAAGCAATGGGGCTAAATTTCCATATACAGTTTGCGGAGGGAATTAAAGCTCCAGAAGAGGTTTTTAAAAATATGACAGAATTGGTGTTGGTGAATTCAACAATAAAGGACTGAAGTGACAGCTAATTACAATAATAGATGCTTGAGCTGCAACACTTGACATATGCAGAATGATTTATGGGCATAAAAGTAATATTCCTGCAAGTCATTGTAAGACATACATTCCAATTTTTTCCAATTAAAAATATGAAAGCCAAGAAGTAACAAAAACAGGGCAATAAAATCAGCTAAGTGAATCTTTGTTAATATAGTTGTTAAAATAAATGCATTTCCTAGGTCTGATGGAGACTCAGAGGGATCCAGTGAAACATTTTATTTATTTGTGTATCATTTATTTATTTATTTAGATGGGGTCTCACTCTGTCACCCAGGCTAGAGTGCCATGGTGCCATCAAAACCCACTGCGGCCTTAAACTTCCGGGTTCAAGTGATCCTCTTACCTCAGCCTCCTGAATAGCAGTGAAACATTTTTAATAATAAAAATTTAATAATTTTTAATAATTTTAATAACAAAATCTGTATATGTATGCAACAAGTTTTGCCAATTAGAATTTTACCTCAATATTATTTTGAAAACTTCCATGGTTTAAAGTGGTATTTTGTTACATTATTTTCATAAGTAGTAAATTCTCCACCATTTTGAAGACAATGTCAGAAATGGTACCAAATTGATGGAGGCCAGATTTTGTGGGAGCTCACTGGTCTATCACTATGCCCAACATAAAAAGTGTGTGTGTGGCCAGGCGCAGTGGCTCACGCCTGTAATCCCAGCACTTTGGGAGGCCAAGGCAGGTGGATCATTTGATGTCAGGAGTTCAAGACCAGCCTGGCCAACATGGTGAAACCCCATCTCTACTAAAAATACAAAAATTAGCCAGGCATGTAGCACACACCTGTAATCCCAGGTACTCAGGAGGCTGAGGCAGGAGAATCACTCGAACCCAGCAGGTGGAGGTTCAGTGAGCTGAGATGGTGCCATTGCACTCCAGCCTGGGTGACAGAGTAAGACTCTGTATCCAAAAAACAAAAACAAAAACAAAACAAACAAACAAACAAAAAATATGGTGTGTGGCCAGGTCCTTGGGTGTGTGGTCCCTAAGTGGGGAAGTAGAGGGGTCCTCATTCCTCCCTGACATGTGCTGAGGGTTACTAATAATAATAATCATGGTGATGATGATGTTAGCTCACATTTATTGAGCTTACAATGTGTAAGCTTTGATGAAGAAACCACAGCTACTTTAACTCTTGCCATCTTTCCTGCCCTCAAACATACAGCCTTGTCATGCCAGACCACTTTCAGCCCTAAAACTGTTCCTCCACTGAATCCCTGGGAAGGGACCATCCAGCCCATGCCTGTGACAGGGAGCTAACTCGAGAGAGGCTGGATGGCTGTCCATCACTGGACAGCTTTAGGGTCAGAAAATTCTTGCTTACACTGATGTAAATCCTTTCTCCTGTAATTTCCATTATTTGATTCCAGTTTTATGATACATCTTTAAGATTTATATGGCTACTGAACACACTCTACTTTGTGCATTCATGCATTCATTTAATAAAAATTTTTAAAGCATCTAGTAAATGTGAGGCACTGAATTAGCTGTGGGGATTTCATGTAATTAACCCGCAGTCAGGTGACACCCTATCCTGGCTCTTAATACAGGCCTCCGACACCAAGCAGAGATTCTGAAACCAGCCTGTGGGGATGCAGGCGGGGATGCCAGGTGTGAGAGGGGGTCTTTGTTTACCCGAGAGACCGAATATACAAATGGAAAATTAGCTGGATCGTATATAAAAACAGAACTTTGACCCACAACTTGCAGCAACTAGCTCAGAAAGCCAACCAACTATCTGCAGCAATGATTCCAGAAAGCCAAACAACCACCCTTACAGCAACTGGTCCCAAATGAGCAGGACTTGATTAACGATGGCCAGCTTGCTTCATCTTTGCCTACCCGCCCCCGCCACCTATGACCCGCTTCCAATTTAGGACTAATTAGAGAAAGCCAAATATGCTCCCATAACCAATCACATAGGATTCCTCACTTCTGGTTAGCCCACCTACGGCTTCCCCATCCCACAGCCTCCAATGAGGGCGCACCTGAAACCTTCCTTCCCTTTTTTCCGCCATGAAGCTTTCCCATTCCTGTCCCTGCCTGTGAGTCTCTGCCAAACTCAAGCAACAGCAGCTGACTGCCTTGCTAGAGCAAGCTCTGGATATATAGCTGATGTAATCTGGGTGTTTGTTCCCTCCAGATCTCATGTTGAAATGTAATCCCCAGTGTTGGAGGAGGGGCCTCGTGGGAGGTGTTAGGGTCCTGGAGGTGGATCCCTCATGAGCGGCTTAGCACTATCCCCTCGGTGAAGACTGAGTTTTCAGTTCATGCGAGATCTGATTGTTTAAAAGAGTGCAGCACTTCCTCCACCTTGCTCCCTCTCTTGCCACTGATGTGCCTGCTTCCCCTTCACCTTCTGCCTGGATTGTAAGCTCCCTGAGAACCTCACCAGAAGCAGATGCCAGCACCACGCTTCCTATACAGCCTGCCAAAATGTGAGCCAATTAAACCTCTTTTCTTTATAAATTACCCAGTCTTGGGTCCTTTAAAGCAACGCACAAATTAACTAACACAATTGCCTTTACTTATTCTCCCGTAAGTGGTCTTCATTTATTTTCACACTTCCATTCAGTTTCTTTTTGCAATCATAGGTCTGTTTAACTCATGAAATCTCTTTAAGTCTTCTTTCTAAAATACAAAGTCTTAGGCCGGTTGCGGTGGCTCACGCCTGTAATCCCAGCACTTTGGGAGGCTGAGGCAGGTGGGTCATGAGGTCAGGAGATCAAGGACATCCTGGCCAACATGGTGAAACCCCATCTCTACTAAAAATACAGAAAAAAAAAAAAAACTTAGGTGTGGTGGCGGGCGCCTGTAGTCCCAGCTACTCAGGAGGCTGAGGCAGGTGAATGGCGTGAACCCAGGAGGCGAAGCTTGCAGTGAGCTGAGATCATGCCACTGCACTCCAGTCTGGGCGACAGAGCGAGACTCTTGTCTCAAAAAAAAAAAAAAATTTTAGGCACTATCTTCCAGATTTATTCCATTTATACATTTAGTCAATTGCCTTCCAGGTATTACCATTGATAATAACCTTGAGCAGCAAGGTTTAGATGTAGAATAAAGCTCTATAGCATTCAAGACCTTCCTTCAAGGGATACGGCCACTAGTCCATGCCCCTTGACCGGGACAGTAACCAAGGCGTTGCTGCCCACCTTGCTGTACTGCTGACCAGGTCATATGTTTGTGGACAAACTTAGGGAGATTTATGAAATCTTTGCCATGGACAATAAATAAGCAGTAGTGCCTCTGGCATTCCCCTGATCTAGTGACCTAAACAACTCACTAAGAAAGGAAGAAGGTTTCCTAGTCATCAACTCAAATGGCTATAATTTACTGAGCAGTAACCATGCTGCAGTGATGGCACTAGGTCTGTTTTAGCCTCCCATTTGGCCCCCCTAACAATTGCAGGGGGTCGGTATTATTAGCTCAGTTGTAGAGATGAGCGAATGGAATTTAGGGATGTGAAATAACTTGCCCTGGGTCATATAACGATTAAGGAGTAGGGAAAAAATCAATTTCGGTTCTATCTGACTGCAACCACTATGTTATACTGCCAAACAAAGAGCTTAGTAACAGCCAAAAAAAAGAATAAGGCTGGCAAAACAGCAAATCTAGATTTAGCTTCTGTTTTCAGATGTATAGTGCGTATGTTACTGAAAGCCAAAGTCCACAATGGGCAGGCTGCTTATTAAGTATCATATTTGAATTTGGGGGGCTTTAAGAGGAACTTTAATGGAATGGACTGTATCTATGAAAAAAGCTGTGACCGGGATAGAGATTTTGAGACATGTCATATAAGCAAGTCTCAGACTATCATGCCATTTAGAACATATTCAGGAAGCAGGGGTTGGAGGGACAAATCCAGGAAAACTTCAGAAGTAAATAAGTTTCACTTGGGAATGACCTCCTGATGAAAACCTCATGTTAGGAAACACAAATAGGAGAGGTTAAGTGATGCTCTTATTTCTTCAAGTAATTATATAATTTGAGACTGCCACAGACAATAAAATGGTTTTGGGAGAGTAAAAAAGAGGATTTTCTATTTATGCTTCTTTTGAATAACACTTGCCAAATTGTCCCTTTAAAAATTGTAGAAAATACGCATGATTTTGTTATTCAAAATGCAGTCTGCTAATCCATATATTTTGTAAAAGATAAGAGACTTCCACCCCTCATTTGTTTTAAGATGCACATGCAAACAAAAATGACCTTTCTAAACAGCCCAGGTAACCTTCTATATCAACACAGAGAGAATTAATCATTTGTTTTCCCTCATTTCATGTTTCCTAAGGAATATTAATTATTCTCTGTTGTATTTGAAGTTGAATTGCTTTTTACTTTGCTCCATTTTCATTTTGGTTCTGGTATCCAGTTACCTGCATTACCAATGAAATACTTTCCTAGGAGGTAAAACATATCTTTCAAAACTCGTAAATCCTGAGAAAAATATCAGCTCAGTACCAGCACTGAGCAGGGATGGCAGATGGACTATACAACAGTGACCTCCTCCTGCCCACTGCCACATACACTGGGTCTTTGAAACTTCCTCAGTCCTTTGTTCTTTTAATTGAAAGAAAAAGGGACAAGAGGAGAAAATCAAAGGTGCTTTAAGCACTAGCACCCTTTCTCCTTGTTAATGTCAGGCTATGACCTCAACTGCAGGAAGACCTGAAAGAAATGACTGGGCTTGGCGAGGCAGAGGGAGTGTGACTCTCATCGGCGTCCCATGAAATAGTTATTGTCAGAAATAGCAGCTATGATGAAATCAGTAGCTTTAGGTTCAGCAAAGAACTATCACTACTCAAGTGCTTGAGCTATTAGATTAAAAGTATCCATATCAGTCAATCTCTTTGCTGTTTCTCCAGCTGTCCACTGAACCTCAGAACTACCCCTTCTTCCTGACATCCTTTGTTTCTGTTGACAATATGGCTCTTCTCTCAGTTGGCCCAGCACCAGAGGCGGAAAGTGCTGCCGCCTACTCCCTCTGGCTGAGTTCTTACAGCCCATCAGTCACTATGATGCAGCTCTTGCCAGGTCTTTTCCATGTCATGTTACTTCCAGATCTCATAGTCATCATCTGTATTAGTCAGGGTTCTCCAGAGAAGCAGAACCAACAGGATATGAATACATATGTACAGTGGATCCTTGAACGATGTGAGGGTTAGAGGCACTGATCCTTATACAGTCAAAAATCTGTGTATAGCTTTGGGATCCCCAGAAACTTAACTACTAATAGCCTACTGTTGACCAGAATAGTCAATTAACACATATTTTGCATGTACTGTGTATTAGATATTTCTCTAGCTTATAATAAAGTAAGCTAGAGAAAAGAGAATGGTATTAAGAAAATCATAAGGGAAAATATATTTACTATTCATTAAGTGGAAGTGGATCATCATAAAGATCTTCATCCTCATTGTCTTCACATTGAATAAGCTCAGGAGGAGGAGGAAGAGGATGGGTTGGCATTCCTGCCTCAGGAATGGCAGAGGTAGAAGAGGTGGAGGAAGGAGAAGCAGGCATATTCAGTGTAATTTTTATTGAAAAAAAGTGCATATAAGCAGATCCATGCAGAGAAAGAGAGATTTATGAGATTTATCTTAAGGAATTGGCACATATGATTGTGGGGGCTGTAAGTTCAAAATCTGCAGGGCAGAGCAGGCAGGGTGGAAACTAAGGCAGGGTTTCTATATGTTGCAGTCTTGAGGAGAATTCCTTCTTCTTTGGGAAACCCCACTCTTGTTTGGGAAACTCCACTTCAATTGATTGGATGAAGCCTACACACAATATGGAGCAGAGCCTACTTTACTCAAAACCTACTGATGTCAATGTGAATCACATCTAGAAAATACCTCCCCAACAACATCTAGACTCATGATTGACCAAACAACTGGGCACCGGAGCCCAGCCAAGTTGACTCATTAAATTAACCTTCACACCCTCATAATTCAGCCCTGCCACTCCCTCCTTAATCATGGCCATCAGCCCGCTCCCCGCTTTCCCCACTGCTCACCTGGGCACTTTCTCTAGCTTTGTTCCAGTGCTGTCAGGTCCTGGCTCTGATTACAGGTCTTCGGTAGTTCCCCCTTGGCCTGTAGGTCTGACTCCACATCCTACCCTGGGCATCTGCATTGGTCCCAAGCTTATTCTTGCCTTTTCCAGTTCTATGTTCTAAGGCTTTACAACTGGGATGCTTTGCTCCTGCAAGAAGCTGCTCACAGATCTTCCAACACCCCATGCTTCTTTCTGACTCTGTATCTTTGTTCACTCTGTTCCTTCTACTTAGAATACTTTTCTTTTTTTCCCACTCTATTCAACATAACTTATTTGAGATTCATCCATCAACACCTTGTCTTTTTTCATTGGTAAGTAGTTTGCAATTGTATGGACATGCCACAATTTCTTCATCCATCTTTTATGGAAATCGATGTTTTATATATATTTATATATATTTATATTTATATATATTTATATATATTTATATTTATATATATTTATATATATTTATATTTATATATTTATATATATTTATATATTTATATATATTTATATATTTATATATTTATATATATTTATATATTTATATATATTTATATATTTATATATATTTATATATTTATATATATTTATATATTTATATATATTTATTTATATATATTTATATATATTTTTATATATATATTTATACACACACACACACACACACACACACACACACATACATATATGTATTTGAGACAGAGTCTTGCTCTGTCACCCAGGCTGGTGTGCAGTGGTGTAATCATGGCTTCCTGAAGCCTTGACCTCCTGGGCTCAAGAGATCCTCCTGCCTCAACTTCTCAAGTAGCTAAGATTATAGGCACACACCACCACACCCAGCTAATAAGCAGGATCTCTTTCTTTCTTCAGCATGCCTGCACAGGTGAGCTCACCCCGCTCACTCATCATTTAAGGTGCAGCTCAAATTCCATCTTCTCTCTGTGACCCTCACTTGTTGGTCTGCAGAGATTTTCCTCCTCCCAAGTCCCAGAATACTTATAGCTGACACCACTCATTTAGCACCAGGGCTGGCTTCACATTAGCATACACAGGCTCTGAGAAATTCCATGACGAAGAAACCCATTTAAATTAAACCCATAGGGTCTCTGTCTTAGGCAGTGCAGCCTCCCTTTCTCAGGTAATGACCATAACGATCTCACTGAAACAGCATTTCATAACACACACCTTGGAAAATACTATGCTGGTTATTCTCTGATATAATTTCTAGTTCCGAGATTAGATGCATCAGTGATTCCAGATAACAAGCAGATCTTGGGCTGGCTGGTCAGTTTGTTCTCCCTGTCCAAGTTACAGGAGAAGGTCTGGGGAGGTTGCTAAGCTACAGGGTCACTATCTGACTTGATCACCAGCATCATACCACCCCTGTGCTCCTGTACCCCAAGAGATGGCCTGTTTTCATCTAACCCTATCAACCTGTGCCCCAAGAGATGGCCTGTTTTCATAGAAACCTTTTAATTCTTTCACAATAAAGACAGACCAAGATTAAAATACACACTGATGAAGTTTAAATAGGGCTATTCCTGTTTGTTCTAATTATGCTAAAATGCACAATTTGAACAACAGTCCTCCCCAGAGATGCCAGATTCTTGTGACCAATAAACCTATTGAACCCACCTTCAACTTCAGGCTAATAGTTCATTTAAGAGGATTCGTTTGAAAAGTATAAATGTGACTTTTTCTAAAAACATGGTTTTCACATTTTCCTTCCTGGCTTCTCCTATTTCAGCATCCCGCCTCCAGAGCCCTGTGGGTTGAAGACCGCTGTGCTCTTTTCTTTCGGCTTCACACGCTGGTTAGTCTTCTGTTTGCTTTGTCAGCACGGTACTTTTCATTTCCTTCGTGGTGTTTTTAGGAGCTCCTGAATTTCACAGACAAATCCAGACCCCTGTGTGGAAAGCCTGCGGTGGTGTTCTCCGTCTTCCCACAGGACTCCCTGCAGCCAGGAATTCTAGGGGAGCACCTGACGCGAGGTGAGGAACATACAGGCATACCTTGTGTTCGTGCACTGTGCCTTATTGCATTTTTTACAAATTGAAGATCTGTGGCAACTCTGCCTCAAACAAGTCTATTGGCTCCATTAGTCCAACAGCATGTGCTCACTTCATGTTTCCATGCCACATTTTGGTAATTCTCACAATATTTCAAACATTTTCATTAGTACTATATCTGTTATGGTGATCTGTGATCAGTTATCTTTGATGTTACTATGGCAACAGCACAACCTGCACCCGTCTAAGTTGGAGAACTTAATCCATAAATGTTGCATGTGTTCTGACTGCTCTGTAGACCAGCTGTTCCCCTGTCTCTCTCTCCTTGGGCCGCCTATTTCCTAAGACAACAACATTGAAATCAGGACAGTTGATAAACCTACCATTGGTCTCTAAGTTTCAAGTTAAAGGAAGAGTGGTACATCTCTCAGTTTTGTGGGTTGTTTGTTGTTCATCTTTGAGATGGAGTCTCACTCTGTCGCCCAGGCTGGACTGCAGTGGTGCAATCTTGGCTCACTGCAACCTCTGCCTCCCAGGTTCAAGCAAGTCTCCTGCCTCAATCTCCTGAGTAGCTGGGATTACAGGCACCCAACACTACATCCAGCTAATTTTTGTATTTTTAGTAGAGATGGGGTTTTACCATGTTGGACAGGCTGGTCTTGAACTCCTGACCTCAGGTGATCTGCCCGCCTCGGCCTCCCAAAGTCCTGGGATTACTGGCATGAGCTACCATGCCCCACTGCATCTCTCAGTTTAAATCAAAAGCTCTTAATGATGAACCTCAGTGAGAAAGGCATGTAGAAAGCCAAGATAAGCCAAACAGTTTGCCAAGTTGTGAATACAAAGGAAAAGTTCTTGAAGAAAATTAAAAGTGCCACTCCAGTGAATACACAAATGTTAAGAAAGCAAAACAGCCTTCTTGCTGACATGAGAAAGTTTGAGCGGTCTAGATAGATCTAACCACTGTCAGGCCTCTGAGCCCAAGCCAAGCCATCGCATCCCCTGTGACTTGCAGGTATACGCCCAGATGGCCTGAAGTAACTGAAGAATCACAAAAGAAGTGAAAATGTCCTGCCCCGCCTTAACTGATGACATTCCACCACAAAGGAAGTGTCAATGGCTGGTCCTTGCCTTAACTGATGACATTCCACCGCAAAAGAAGTGAAAATGGCCGGTCCTTGCCTTAACTGATGACATTACACCACAAAAGAAGTGAAAATGGCCGGTCCTTGCCTTAAGTGATGGCATTACCTTGTGAAAGTCCTTTTCCTGGCTCATTCTGGCTCAAAATCACCCCCACTGAGCACCTTGTGACCCCCACTCCTGCCCGCCAGGGAACAATCCCCCTTTGACTGTAATTTTCCTTTACCTACCCAAATCTTATAAAATGGCCCCACCCCTATCTCCCTTTGCTGACTCTCTTTTTGGACTCAGCCTGCCTGCATCCAGGTGATTAAAAGCTTTTATTGCTCACACAAAGCCTGTTTGGTGGTCTTTTCATACGGATGTGCGTGAAAACCACAATATTCCTGTAAGCCAAAGTCTAACTCAGAGCGAGGCCCTTACCCTCTTATACTCTGTGAAGGCTGAGAGAGGTGAAAAAGTTGCAAAAGAGACATTGGAAGCTAGCTGAGGTTGGTTCATGAAGTTTAAGGTACGAAACCGTTCTGTAACATAGAAGTGCCAGGTGAAGCAGAAAGTGATGATAGAGAAGCTGCAGTAGTTATCCAGGAGACCTAGCTGGGATCATCGATGAAGCTGGATACACTAAACAACAGATTTTCAATGTAGACAAAACAACCTTCTATTAGAAGAAGATGCCATCTAGGACTTTTGTGGGAGTTCAGTCAGGCTCGTGGGAAAAATTTTAAGATGAAGTTATAGGATATACACACAAACCTTCTTGGAAGGCCGGAAGGTTTTGCAAAAGTTTCAGGATAGGGTTATGGCTAAAAGCAGCCTAATCCTTACCTTGAGTTAGTAGCTTGGGACGCAGATACAAAGGAATGTAAAGTATTTTATCTAAATAGCTTGTTTACTCATGTGGTCCTAAGACCAACCTTTGATCATTTGTGGGCAGGATGGCCCTCTCCAGGGTGGGGGCAGCCAGGTTAATTACCCACAGTGGTTGACTCAAAGCCTTTGTCAATTAAATCTGTACTAACTAAATACAAGCATTGCCAGCTTGGAGGAGCTGCAAAACTCTCTTCGGCTGCTGGTGCCGGCCGCCCCCTGGCCTGCTCTTTCACTGAGTATCAGTGTCTGAGTACCTGTCTCATCCGTCATGCAGCTGAGGTCTGTAGGACAGACCCCCACAAGTGGCGCCCTGCATGAGGAACGCTACAAAAGGATCACGATGGACCCCCCGAAAATGAAGGTGAAAAAGGAACTGCACAGTCAGTAAGTCATTGGTGCCTGCTCAGGATTTCCAAGTTCACAGGGGATTATTCAGGCTAGGGTTTCATCACAGGACAACAGTTATCAGCTTAACAGAAACAGTATATAGAAGTATTGAAACAGCTGCTTAAAGCTAGTGGAGCCTATGTTTGGCAGGCTCAATTAAGGGACCTAATGCAAACTGTTGTATCCCAAAACCCATGGTTCCCTGAAGAAGGCATGCTAGACGTAAAGCTCTGGAACAAGTGGGGAGAAATCTTAAACATTGCATGCAAGGGCAAGGTCCCAGTATCATCTTTAATGCTATGGGCCTTAGTTAGGGCAGCCCTGGCTCCATTATACACAGAAGAGCCTAAAAAGGAGAAGGAGGAAGAACCATCACCTGCTTTACCACCTCCTCTTCCCTCAGCCCCGATATCACCAGGCCAAAATAAAAAAGGGGAAACGGAGGTTTTGCCTAAGCCCCCTCCTCCAGTAGATAGGAAAAAGGACAGGGGATATGCTACAGCGAAGAGACCCTGTCTTAAGCAAGCAGCATTAAAAGGGGAGCTCTTTGCCTGCCCAGTAATGCAAGATCAACAAGGCAATCAGATGTATAAACCCATTTCTTTTAACGCTTATTTAAAAATACGAAAAAACATTAAAGACCAGAGCTGCGCGACCATGCGAGCGGTGGGCAGAAGGAAAGGCTCAGCAGCAGGGAGGCTTGCAGACCTGGAGCCAACAGATGCTCCCAGGAACTCGACCTGCATAGTAGCAACGCAATGAGGAGCCAGGCCCAGCATGCAGAAGCTAGCCTGCTGGGGATGGGCAGGAGGCACATGCAGGAAGGTTTGTGCAGCAGGCAGCAGCCGCCAGGCAGCGGGGTGGAGGAAGGAGCAGTACAGAAAGAAGCAGCACAGACAAAGCACAGCGCCTAAGCAGGTGCAAAGTGGCTGCCGCCCTGGGGCCTGCCTGCTCAGCTCTCCAGCTCTCCGGCCTGTGGCAAAATTTTGTGTGCTCCTTATGTACAAGCGACATCCCAGATTGTAATTCTATGCTAAGATTTGAGTAAAATTTAAAAATTTAAAAAACCTCTTTCTGATAATGGCCACCGTTATCTCTCTCCTACCCCTGACGTGGCTCTTTCAAGATCTGATTTGGGTAGAACAGTTGCCTTTGAAGGGAGAGAAATTACAGAAAGCCCATGAATTAGATAAAGAGCAATTAAAAGCTGGACATGTAGAACCATCAAATAGTCCTTGGAATTCGCCCATTTTTGTCATTCCCAAAAAGTCTGGTAAATGGAGACTTTTGCATGACTTACATGCTATTAATGCCAATTTGCAACCTATGAAACCCCTTCAGCAGGGGCTCCCTTCCCCCGTGGTGATTCCTCACAATTGGCCTATAATTGTTATTGACTTAAAAGACTGTTTTTATATGATTCCCCTAGCAGAACAGGACAGAAAAAAATTTGCGTTTACAATAATGAAAGGCCAGCTTGTCGATTTCATTGGAAAGTGCTTCCTCAAGGAATGCTAAACAGTCCTACCATGTGTCAGTATCATGTAAATCAAGCTTTGCTCCCCAGTAGAAAAGAATTTCCTGATTGTAAGGTTATTCATTTTATGGATGATATTTTACTAGCAGCCCCAACAGAACTAATGCTTTTAAATCGACATACCTCTGTCATAAAGAATACAGCTAAAAGGTTTAATTATTGCACCTGAAAAAGCACAAATGTCCTCTCTTTGGAAATATCTTGGGTACATACTAACGTCCCGGTCAGTAAGACCTCAAAAGGTTAAATACTAGCAACTTACACACTTTAAATATTATCAGAAATTACCAGGCATATCAACTGGCTCTGCCCCACTTTAGGCATTCCGACTTATAAGCTGCAAAACCTGTTGTCTATCTTAAAGGGCAATACAGTCCTGGATTCTCCCAGAGAGTTAACCCCCGCAGCAAAAAGGGAAATTGAGAAAATAGAACAAGCCACCTCTCAGAGGCAACTAGATTGCACAGACACCCATTATTCCATCCAGTTATTTATTTTTCCCACCAAACACTCCCCTGGAGGGTTAGTAGGACAGATGACCCCCCAGCACTGTGCTTTCTAGAATGGGTTTTTTTTTTTTGCTCACATACCGGGACTAAAACACTCTCTCCCTATATCCAGTTACTTAGTAAAGTCATCCATTCAGGTTGCAGACAATGTTGTCAGTTGCTAGGTTATGATCCTGATATTTTCAGGATTCCTTTAAGTAAAAAGCAATTCAAAGCAGTATTGCCAGCATCTATTGATCTGCAAATAGCTCTCTCTGATTATACAGGACAAATAGCGCATGTCCTTCCTGCTGATAAACTCCTTCATTTCTTATCTCGTACTCCTGGGATCTTGCCTACAAAAATAGTTCACTCTCCCATACCTAATGCTTTAACACTGTTTACTGATGGTTCAGGTAAATTTGGAAAAGCAGCAGTTTGGTGGAGACCACATAATTCCATCACTCTATCTGGGCTTACTAGCACTCAGAGAACTGAGAATGGGGCACTGATACTGGCTGTGGAGAATTTTTCCACTTAGCCCATCAATATAGTTAGTGATTCTGCTTACTCTGTTGATTTATTTCAGAACCTTGAGAGAGCCCTAATTAAGTCCACTCTGGAGCCCACCCTGTGTGCTCTTTTTCTTCAACTTCAGCAATTGCTAGATCAACGTACACATCCTGTTTTTATTACACACAGTCAAGCCCACAGCTCACTGCCTGGCCCATTGGCTTATGGCAATAATCAAGCAGACCTTCAGGTTATGATATCACTGCTTGACTAAGCCATGCAATTGCATCAATTTTTCCACCAACACTGGAGAAACTTATCTAAACAATTTCAACTTACCCAGAGACTGGCTAAACAAATTATCCTACAATGCCCAGATTGCCAGCTCACAGGCACGTCCCCTCCTTCAACAGGTGTTAACCCTAGAGGATTAGAACCTAATTAGTTATGGCAAACAGATGTTACATCCCTGAATTTGGAAAACTAAGATGTGTACATTTAGCCATTGATACCAACACTCATCTAATTAGTGCACATGCTCTTCCTTGAGAGTCCACTCGATATGTCATTAAACACCTTTTTTTTTTTTTTTTTTTTTTTGAGATGGAGTCTTGCTCTGTTGCCCGGGCTGGAGTGCAGTGGCGAGACCCTGGCTCACCACAAGCTCTGCCTCCCGGGTTCACGCCATTCTCCTGACTCAGCCTCCAGAGTAGCTGGGACTACTTGTGCCTGCCACCGTGCCTGGCCAATTTTTTTTTTTTTTTTTTGTATTTTTAGTAGAGACGGGGTTTCACCGTGTTAACCAGAATGGTCTTGATCTCCTGACCTTGTGATCTGCCCACCTCAGCCTCCCAAAGTGCTGGGATTACAGGTGTGAGCCACCGTGCCCAGCCTATACATCTTCTTTTAACTTTTGCATTTATATGATGGCCCACAAAAATTAAAACTGATAATGGTTCAGCTTATGCCAATTCACAATTCCAACAATTTTGTCACATGTGGAATATCCAACATTCCACAGGCATCCCGTATAACCCCCAAGGACAAGCCATAGTAAAACATGCCCGTTCAACTCTTAAAAATATGCTCAAAAAACAAAAAGGGGGGAATATGGGTAAAGACCCGGCAACACTATTGGCACAAACCTTATTTACCCTTAATTTTTAAAATTTAGATGACACATTTCGATCAGCTGTAGATATGCACTTTGCTAAAACCTCTCAAGACATAAAACCTGCAGTTTTATGGAAAGATGTGAACAGTAATGTATGGTGTGGTCCAAATGAATTATTAACATGGGGAAGAAGGTATGCTTCCACACCCCCTCGGGTCCTCTTTGGATTCTAGCACAACGCATCAAACCATAGCATGGCATGGCTAGGACCTAACCCGGTACCAGAAATGAAGAAAATAACCCTACAGGACCCACAGCCCCAGACAATGCACCTTCCTTGGACAACACAGGCCCTGGACAGAATGCTGAAGAAGACAAGTCAGAAGACTGAGCGAATCCTGCTCTGGACACAGACACCATTCACTCCAGATAATTGTTCCTTACTATGTTTTATTAATCTTTTTAAATTCTCTCACTTTACCTGCTACCTGTACCTGCTACACTCTATTAAGCTTATCTTCTAAATCTGCCTTTTTTCAGATTTATCTGAAAATCTGCCCTGTTATCTGGGCAGACACTCCCTTCCCCGCTTCTAACAACATGACTGCTTGGCTGGAAGGGGTTAACATACCCCCAGCGGGGTTCCTTAGTAACAGCACACATCAAACTGAAGTGCCAAGTAATGCTGCAGGTCACTCCTTGATTGGAAAAGAATGTTGCTAATTATACTCATGATTGTCTTATGTTATTTGCTAATTCTAGGATGCAAAGTCAGAATAACAGCAATGACCGCCTTGCCCGACAGACCTGTTGCTGCACACAGCTGTATGCTTCAGTCAACAGAACCCAATGCAAAAAACAGAAAAGGGGGAGATGTGGGAGTTCAGTCAGGCTGGTGGGAAAAATTTTAAGATGAAGTTATAGAATAGAGACACAAACCTTGGAAGGCTGGAAGGTTTTGCAAAAGTTTCAGGATAGGGTTATGGCTAAAAGCAGCCTAATCCTTAACTTGAGTTAATAGCTTGGGGCACAGATACAAAGGAATGTAGATTATTTTATCTAAATGGCTTGTTTACTCATGTGGTCCTAAGACCAACCTTTGATCAACCTCAGGTGCATAATTGCTCTCTACTTGGGAAATCAGCAATGTCAATTACCCTCTAGTGTTGTTTACTCAAGACCTTTGTCATTTAATCTATACTGAATAAATGCAAGCTTCGCTGACTGTTCAGGGCCACGACTCTTTACAGCACCTTCTTTACAGCACCTTCCTCGGTGTCTGTGAGTGGCCTGGACCCTCAGCCAAACTGACAGGCAAAATATCTATGTCAGCGTATGTCTCTCATCCATCACTGAGTTAGGGTCTGTGGGTCAGACCCCCACACACTTTCATAGCTAGAAAGGAGATAATTCAATGCTTAGCTTCAAAGTTTCATAGGACATGCTGACTCTGTTAGGTGCTGATGAGGCTGGTGATTTTAAGTTGAAGCCAATACACATCTACCATCATAAAAATTGTGGGACCCTTAAGAATTATGCTAAATCAACTCTGCCTGTGCTCTATAAATGGAACAAAGCTGGGATGATAGTACTGCTGAATACAGCATGGCTTACTGAATATTTTAAGCCTGCTGTTGAGACCTACTGCTCAGAAAGAAAGATTCCTTTCAAAATATTACTGCTCATTGACAATGTACCTGGTCACCCAATAGCTCTGACGAAGATGGGCAAGGAGATGAATGTTGTCTACATGTCTGATAACACAACATTCATTCTGCAGCCCAGGGATCAAGGAGTAATTTCTACTTTCAAGTCTTTTGGAAGGCTATATAGCTACCATAGACAGTTATTCCTCTGATAGATCTGGGCAAATTAAATTGAAAATCTTCTGGGAAGGCTTCACCATTCTAGGTACCATTAAGAACATTTGTTGGCCAGGCACGGTGGCTCACACTTGTAATCCCAGCACTTTGGGAGGCCGAAGTGGGTGAATCACCAAAAGTCAGGAGTTTGAGACCAGCCTGGACAACATGGTGAAACCCCATCTCTACTAAAAAATACAAAAATTAGCTGGGCGTGGTGGTACATGCCTGTAATCCCAGCTACTTGGGAGGCTGAGGCAGGAGAATCACTTGAACCTGGGAGGTGGAGGTTGCAGTGAGCTGCCACTGCACTCTAGCCTGGGCGACAAGAGCAGAACTCCAAAACTCCATCTCAAAAAAAGAACATTTGGGATTTACGGGAGAAGGTCAACATATCAACATTAACGGGAGTTTGGAAGGAGTAGATTCTAACCCTCATGGATGACTCTGAGGGGTTTAAGACTTCAGTGCAGGAAGTCACTGCAGATGTGATGGAAATAACAAGAGAACTAGAATTAGAAGGGGAGCCTAAAGATGTGGCTGAATTGCTGCAATCTCAGGATAAAACTTGAATGTATGAGGAGTTGCTTCTTATGAATGAGCAAGGGAAAGTGGTTGAGATGAAATCTATTCCTAGTGAATATGCTGTGAACATTGTTGAAATAAAAAGGATTTAGAATATTACATAAACTTAGTTGATAAAGCAGTGGAAGGGATTGAGAGGACTGACTCCAATTTTGAAAGAAGTTTTATTGTGGATAAAATGCTTTTAAACAGCACCACATGCTACAGAGACATCTTTCATGAAAGGAAGTCAATTGATGTGGCCAACTCCATTGCTGTCTTATTTTAAGAGATTGCTATAGCCACCCTAGCCTTTAGCAATCACCACCCTGATCAGTAAGCAGCCATCAACATTGAGGCAAAACCCTCCACCAGCAAAAATCTTACATCTGCATCTGAAGGCTCAGATGATTGTTATTTTCTAGCAATAAAGTATTCTTAAATTAAGGTATGCACATTTGTTTTTACATAGTGCTACTGCACACTTAGACTACAGTATAGTGTAAAGGTAACTTTTATATGCACTGGGAATCCAAAAAAATTGTGTGACTTGCTTTATTGCAGTGGTCTGGAACTAAAGATGAAATATCTTTGCTGTATGTCTATAGAAGCAAACACATACTGACTTCCTAGTTTTCCTAGTTCAATCCAGAGATTAGTGAGTTTGCAGAGCTCAAGTATTGAGCAAGAGTAGTTGGCATCCTATGACCACCATATCATTATGGATTTGCAATTGGAAAGATTCCAGTGAGTAAAAAGTTTCTTGATTAATTGCATTGTTAGATTTTGTTAAAGAAAAGGGTGACAGAGAAAATCTGTAACTTAGCACCCCAGAAAGATAAAGAAAATAATTTTTTCCTAAATGTATTTATTTTAAAAGATTAGTGAAATAAGAGTGAGGTGTTTAGAGCTATATGGCTTGGGTTTGAGTTCCAGCTTTGCCACTTCCTGAAAAGTGTCCTTGGGTAAGTTACTTACCTATGTCTCAGCTTCTTCCTTTGCAAGATAAAATTATAAGAGGAGTATTTCCAAGAAAGAATTACTGTGAAAATGGAATGAGGTTATACTCTTTACATGCGTAGAAAAATGCCCAGCATAGAGAAAGCCTCAATTCATTGAAACTGTTATTGTTGTTAATTATTTCTTCCACTTACCATAAATGTAAGGTAATGATTGATAACAATAATCATTGATTTCACTGGACAACTTCACAAACTATAAAGCTGATAACATAGGTTTAACTCTTGGAAAATGTATAATTCTTCTTGTAATTGTTAGCCTCAACTTTGGTAAATTAAAATCTGTTCTAATGCATAGGTCCTGCTAAGCAATGCTTTATGTCACACTGAGGTAGACCAAGAAAAATTCCACATAGTTGAGCATAATAGAAAGGAACACTAATTTAAGATAGATGATTAAGTATAATAGCGTGATCCCAAATTTTGAGAGCTGTGGGGAAATAATGGGCCGGGGAGGAGACAATATCTGTGTGTAGGTGTGGAGAGGAAGAGGAGGGGAGTATGCTGGAGTGTTGATTTAAAAAGATGTTCTGAGAAGGTTGGCTAGTCTTCCTAAGCATCCAATGACTAGGAACCTCCTGTCGCTGGATGACTAATGGAAAGATGGTGATTTTGTAATCCTCTGTGGATTGCCTCTGACACAAATAAATGCATAAAAATCCTAAGTGTGTGAAAATGTATTTTCAACATATTTGAAGTTAATCATTTGTTAAGAGAAAGATAACATCTTCATCTTGAGATTAAAGAAATAACCCAAATGATTACTATCCTAAGACATATTACTCTCTACTGAATTTTTGTGTTTCCCCCTGTCTCATAGATGATGTAATATCATCCTGAAAATATAGGTCTGGGTGATGTCAATTACATAGCAACCTGCTCTCAGGAATCTGGGAGCAGCCTATGAATTACAAAAGCATTGAAGCAATAACAGTTTTTACTTTTTTTTGTAAGATGATCCTGACAAGCAAAGGTTTATCCTTTCACATAAAAGGAAGATGAGCCTCTTAAAACTACAGTTAAGAATAATAAATGCTGTAGGTTTTAGGATCCTTATCTGCAGTAGCGTGCTTTATGAAGGTGGTCGCTTTGAGGGTGACAGAACATTGAGTTTACATAACGTAGAAAGCTTACCTGTCCCAGGGATTGCCAGTCCAAACCGGCACTGCCGATATACACGTGCTGTTTGTCCACGATCCAGAAGGAGGACTGCAGCCGGCCCTTGTTGTAAGCGGTCATGTTCATGTACGTCACCTCGGCTCCTAGGAGTTCAAGGACAGTCTGGTCAGCCTCTGCGTCAAGGCCCTGCCTGGGCTGTCAGTCACCTACCAGTGGAAATATTCATGGTTCACCATTTGTCCCAATTGACATTTAGGAAAGCTAAATATTTATGTTAGTTTGGTGGAGAGAAGGTCCCCAAGGTATTATTTTGTTCCCTAAAACAAAGAAAACTAAAAGAAAAGAAAAGAAAAGAAAAGAAAAAGCCAGGGGAAATGCCTTTTCCTATGCATATGGCAGAGGAGGTTTTGCATATAGTGACAAGACCACGGCTTCTCAACTCAGATCTGTACTGAAATCCCGGCTGCACCACTTACCATCTGGACGGTGAGATAGGTACACCATATGCAGTTTTCTTTTCTGAGTAATTTTAATACAGTTTGCAATCAATATAAGGGTCAGTCTTGTTCAGTATCACAGCTCTCCTCAATAAGACGTTGGCCTCATTATGCTTTCTATACATTTTTCATCCTGTGAACCTTTCACTTGCTTTTACTTCTTCATTCCTTCCCTTTATTATTTAATCTGGGTTTGGTCTCTTCTTCATCTTTATCTGATAGTATTTTTTTTAATTTATATTTTATTTTATTTTATTTTATTTTATTTTATTTTATTTTATTTTTGAGACAGAGTCTCACTCTGTTGTCCAGGCTAGAGTACAGTGGTGTAATCTCAGCTCACAGCAACCTCCACCTCCCAGGTTTAAGTGATTCCCTTGCCTCAGCCTCCTGAGTAGCTGGGATTACAGGCATGTGCCACTATGCCCGGCTAATTTTTGTACTTTTAGTAGAGAGGGGTTTTTACTATGTTGGCCAGGCTGGTCTCGAATTCCTGACCTCAAGTGATCCACTCGCCTCGGCCTTCCAAAGTGCTGAGCTTACAGGTATCTGACAGTTCTTAATTTAAGCAATGATTATTCAAGCTTTACTGAAATGCAACCTTGAATGGTTAACTAAATCACTCAGACTATTGTTAATGCCAAAAATATATTTGAAGAGCTGAATGTGACCAATTGTTTTAGGCTTCATGTGGTAGGATCCAGTGTCAAGCCTTTATGCATTACTGCTTCAAATGCATTTACAAACCTCTCAAAAGGAGCATACAGTCCATTCAATGCAAGGGTATTTAAATAAATTTCTGCTAAAGGTCTATTCCCTTTAAAATAACAGACCTATATGCATATATTTAATGAACTAAGCTATTGTGTCTTCAGGTATTTATTATTAACGAAGACGATGTATTCCAGGGGCACACTTCATTGTCAGAGTCTTCATTACCACAGGCACACATAAGACTGTATGCAGAAGGATACATTTCAGCATATCAGAAAGGAAGGAGAGTAATTTACACTATGAACTTAATGCTTAACTCTTAGGAAAATGTAAACAATGCATCTAGCTTCCTTGTGGCAGGAGGATGAAAAGAGATGTTATGAGGTTGGGAGAGAATCTCTGAGGGGAAGACAGCACCCAGGCAGATTTTCTCTGAGGGTAGAGCAGTTTCTTTGTCTTCCAAGTGGCGGGCACATGTTTCTCTGCCTCCAGCCATCCTGGAATAGTAACATCCAAAAAAGAGTTGCAGATCCCAGAGGAGGAACTTGGGTATGGCAGAATCTGAATATCTAAAATGGGTAGTTACCCTGGCAGGTATGGAGAGACCCAAATCTGCATGGAGGTGTGGCCGGCCCCACAGACACAGCAGACAGTGTTCCTCAGTAGATAAACAGAGCATTTGTCCTTAGATACGGGATTAGTTCCCTAGGTCTGCTATAACAAAGTACCCTAATCTGGATGACTTAAAACAGCAGAAACTTATCCTCCGTTCTGGAGGTTAGAAGTCCAAAACCAAGGTGTCAGCAGGGCCAAACTTCCTCTGGGACATGCAGGGAAGCATCCTTCCTTGCCTCTTCTGGTGGTGCCCATTCATCTCTGAGGTTTCTCGGCTTGTAACTGCAGCACTCTCATCTCTGCCTCTGTTGTCCCATGGCATCTTCTCCCTACACCTCTATTTTCTCTTCTTATCAGGACACTACTCAAGTTGGATGAAGGTCCCGCCCCCCACTACAGTATGATCTTAACTAATTACATCTGTAAAATCCCCATTTTCAAGTAAGGTCACAGTCTGCAGTTCTGGGGATTACATCTTCTACATATCTTTCTGGGGGATGCAATTCAACCCATAACAGAGACCCAGGTCACTTTACCTGGCCATGCTTTCCAATAGCAATCAACTGGTCAGCACTGAGGGAAGCACCTTCTCTTGTCTCTGGGAGGAACAGAATGAAGGTGACCGTGGTGCTGGCCTCAGATTCCACGTCAGCATGCACCTTGTCAAGCCTTCCCCTGCTCTCTTATTCTGCCTAGAAACTCCTCGAACCCTCTGTGACACTGACTGGCCCTCATCTCCTGGCGTGGGACACTGTGTCTGAAACTCGGCCCCGTGGCCAGTTGCCATTTGCATCAGACTGTTTATGAGTTCTTGGAGTCCTCATCTGTTGTCACACAGGTCCCCTGCAGCCCCAGCCCCAAGGCAGCACTGAGTCAATCTGAAGAGTCCACTGGGGACGACCTCTTTGTACCTCTCCATCCCACACCCCATCTACACTGCTCTAAAAGTACCATGTTATTTTGCAATTTAGCTTAGAAAGTTTGACTTCAGAGATGATGGTCGTGTGTAACCCTCCAGCCAGAGCCTCTGCAGCTACTTAATGATGCCTAAAATTATTTTACAAAGGAAAAGTATCATTCCTTTGACAAAGCTTTACTGAATATCTAATATATACCAGATGCTGTGCTATGTAAAATTAGGGATAAAAGACCTCAAGTGACTGATTCAAATTCAGGCATACTAAAATACTGTCTTAGTCCATTTGGGCTGCTATCACAAAACACCATACACAACAGAAATGTATCCCTCAGAGTTCTGGAGGCTGTGAAGTCCAAGATCAAGGCATTGGCAGATTCGGTGTCTAGTGAAGGTCGACTTTCTGGTTCACAGAGGGTGCCTCCTCACTGTGTCCTCATGTGGTGGAAAACATGAGGATCTCTCTCTGACTTCTTCTTCTAAGGGGACTAATCCCATTCATGAGGGTTTTGCTGCTTTCCTAACCCAGTCACTGCCAAATCTCTCACCTCCTAATACCATCACCCTGGGGGTTAGGATTTCAACACATAAATTTGGGGGTACACAAACATTTGGAGCACAGTAGTGTCATCTTTAAAATGATCAGGATCTGCTCCAGTCCTGCTGCTCAGACAGAAGGGGCACCAAAGAGCTGAGAGATCAGAAAGTGGAGTCCTTACTGCTGTATCAGGGAACCCCAAGTGAAGGCCGGAGAGCAGGAAAGATAGTAAATGGCTTCACAGTCTGCCCAGGGCCCCAGCAGAGCTGTGTGTAGAGATCAAGCAATATGTAATGCTAGTAATTCCCATTTATTGAATACCTGTGTGCCCAGTGCCAAGATAGCTATGTTACAACAGTCTTACATGGCATGCTTCATTTTCTCTATTTTAGGACACGATAAATTCCTGTATGTGGTATAAGAAAATCCACTGAAAATATTTATGATACATCTGAAAAAATATATATTTTTGTATATGGTTCATGGACTATCACTTCCCCATTGCAAATTACCTGTTTTTCTATCTAAATATTGATGCTCCATCTATCTCTGAAGACATATGCTTTTATCTTTATTAATAGCTGTAGATATATATAAATAGAGAGAGAGAGAGAGAGAGAGAGAGAGAGAGTCATGTCTAACATGTCCCTCAGTTTATTCAATATTTTACTTAAGAGAATTTATATTTATGTGCACTTTTAGAATATATCTGTTTGTTGGTTATAGAAATAATTTTCATCCTATTGGGTCTTTATGTAATACGTATTAGGAAGCGATGGTTAAAATATAATGCTGTCTGACTACAAAACATATTTAATGATTAAAAAGTATATAATATGTCACTTACTGCATTTATGTGCATAACCTAAATTTGAGTTTATTTCATATTGTTGTGTTAGAATTGCAATTAGCAAAGACATGCAATACAGGCCTCAACATTTAGATAAAAGGGCAGAGTAATTTTTCATGCATTACACTTATGCAAATACAGACAATATATAATAAATAAATCAAATTCTTTCCATTTACATTAAAAATTTGACAAATTTTTATAGAAGAGATGACTTTAATTTCTACTTCTAAAATAATTTTAGGCCTTTTTTTTACAATGTCACATATTTTTTAAAAATATATAGAATGCCACAATTTTATGAGCACTAACAGAAACACTTCAGATTTTTTTTCTATAGTTATTTTTATGACCCAGAAAACAGGGATCCTATATATTAAAGAGTTATTATGTTAAAATGACAGCAAGAGCTATGCATAAGAAACATGGAGTAATTTATGAGAGCCGCTCGTCAATATTCACGGGGGTTATTCAAGCTTAGTATCCACATGCAAAAGAATGCTGAAAACCAGCCCCTTTGTCCTGTTACTGGTTTCCTTTTCTCCATGGGAATCAGCAGCTCACAGGAAGCCTTTTCTAAAATTCTGTGCTAGACTATTCAGAGCCAACAAAGGCTTCACATTACCAAATAGTTAATATGTTCAAAACTAATATGTAGGTTAGTGACAGTTTTTAAATCCAATTACCATTAGAAAACCACAGGTTTTAAGAAAATTATTTTCCATTTATATTAAGGTACAATTTACTTGTAGTAAAATTCACCCTTTTGAGCATATAAGGGTTTTGAAAGAGAGTCGTGTGACCATCACCGCAATCAGAATGCAAAACAGTGTCATCGTCCCCAGGCTTCTTTTGCAGTATCTTCCTCTTCAAACCCCAGCCCTTGGCAACTACGCAGCAGGATTTTTTGCGTGTGTGCCTATAGTTTTCCTTTTGTAAGAATGTCATACAAATTGAGTCATAGAGTATGCAGCCCTCTGAATCCTGCCTCTCACTTAGCATAATGCACGTGAGACCCATTCATGCTGTCATGTGGAACAGTGGTTTCTCTTTGCTGTTGAGTGATGTTCCATGGTATGGAATGCATCACAAATAGCGCATGTGAGACCCATTCATGCTATTGTGTAGAACAGTGGTTTGTTTCCCTTTGCTGCTCAGTGATATTTCATGGTATGGAATGCACCACACATAACGCATGTAAGACCCATGCATGCTGTCGTGTGGAACAGTGGTTTGTTTCTCTTTGCTGTTGAGTGATATTTCATGGTATGGAATGCACCACACATAACGCACGTGAGACCCATTCATGCTGTTATGTGGAACAGTGGTTTCCCTTTGCTGTTGAGTGATATTTCATGGTATGGAATGCACCACACATAACGCATGTGAGACCCATTCATGCTGTCATGTGGAACAGTGGTTTCTCTTTGCTGTTGAGTGATATTTCATGGTATGGAATGCACCACACATAACGCATGTGAGACCCATTCATGCTGTCATGTGGAACAGTGGTTTCTCCTTGCTGTTGAGTGATATTTCATGGTATGGAATGCACCACACATAACGCACGTGAGACACATTCGTGCTGTAGTGTGGAACAGTGGTTTGTTTCTCTTTGCTGTTAAGTGATATTTCATTGTATGGAAGGCACCACAGTTTGCTTATCCATTCTCCAGTTGAGAAACATTTGGGTAGTTTCCACTTACTGGTGATGACAAATAAAGCTGCCGCAAACACTCATGCATACATTTTTGCAAGAATGTAGTTTTCATTTCACTTGGGTAAATACCTAGGAGTGAGACTGCTGAGTCATATGGTAAATATATGTTTAACTTTATAAGAAACTGCCAAACTGTTTACCCAAAGCGTCTGTACCAGTTTGCATTCCCACCAGCAATATCTGTTAGTCTAAGTCATTCTGTATCCTTGCCAGAACCTGGTACTACATTTATATAAAGTTTTTCCTTTAAATATTATAGACTTCTGAGATCAGAAAATATCTTTAAATCTGGCTTCATTTAATTAAATATATTTTTAAGACAGCTTTGAAAGTATATTAAGTATGATTAACCATTTTTTGCTTTTATAGATTTCTTTTCTAACAGGAAAAAAAATATGTGTCAGTTTCTCTGTGTGCAGCCCCTGACCCATTGCCCAGAGATCTCCGGATGTCAACCGAGAGATGCATACATCACAATGTGACGCGTCAGGACCATGGCCTAGTGGCTGCGCACAGCTGCTGGTGATGAGTCCAGATCTCTGCAGATCCTCCTACTTTCGGCCCCGCAGTCTACTTGTTTAACTGATGATTCATAGGCATTATTAGTAACTCAAAATAATCTTTTTTGATGCCAAAACCAAAAAGTGATAAATCAAGAGTATATCCTTTCTATTGTTGCTTTATAAAATACTTTCATGCTATCCAGGCAGTCCTAATTAAATCTTAAACAACAAACAAGGCTAAGGTTCAGAACTAGAAATGTTAAGCTACAAATATGCTAACTGATGATGTGAAAATCAGGTCCCAGTTGGTCGTACTAATCAAGATAAAGTGATGCGGCTAACCTCCAGGTTTTACCCGCTTCTTGGGAAGTCAAATGTTAAAAATCAGGAAACTCCAAATTACTCATTATAACTCCTTTGAGCTTTAACAGAGACGCTTCATTGAAATTTAATAGAGAATGTCCCTGGTTTTGGAGGGGTTCTGTTTCTTTACTAAACTGTTCTTAGGATAGTAACCAAAATATCGTACTTTATTTTGTGCTTACGTATTTCAATGGAAATAATTCTGTGTTAAAATTTAAGAGAGAAAATGAAAATATTAACTAAAAGGTTATTAAAATTTTTTTAAAGAAAAAAGTATAATGCCATGATGAATTGAAAATTAATGTTACTACTTTGAAGAATCAAGTTGATTGTATGTACACACATTTTAAAAGGAGTATATTCTTGAGAGCCTTCCTCTACCAAGACTTTCTAGCATTAAACTTGTTTATCATAGATCTGTTCCAAATCCCATGTGGTAGAGTTAGTAACTATCTCATCTATAGATTATTCTTTTTGAGGACACTAATGTTTGCTTTATAGTCAGATTTCAGAGTCCCTCACCATTTTGATTTTTATTTTTTTTTAAGAGATGGTCTCCCTATATTGCTCAGGCTGGCCTTGAACTCCTGGGTTAAAGCGATCCTCCAGCCATAGCCTCATAAGTAGCTGGGACTATAGGCATAAGCACCACACCTGGCCTCAACACTGCTCTGTTTGTTTGTTTTGTTTTGGAGACAGAGTGTCTCGCTCTGTCACCCAGGCTGGGGTGCAGTGGTGCGATCTTGGCTCATTGCAACCTCTGCCTCATGAGTTCAAGCAATTCTCATGCCTCAGCCTCCCAAGTAGCTGGGACTACAGGCACACACCGCCACATCCTGCTAATTTTTATATTTTAGTAGAGATGGGGTTTCACTGTGTTGCTCAGGCTGGTCTCGAACTCCTGAGTTCAGGCAATCTGCCTGCCTCGGCCTCCCAAAGTGTTGGGATTACAGGCATAAGCCACCGTGCCCAGCCCTCTTCACTGTTCTTTATGTGTGGATGATATTACATGGGTAGGGCTAAATGTCACCACCAATTTCCTACAGTACAGATCTGTGGGGACCATCCTTTGATGTGCGTCTGTTACATGCTTTTTAGGACATGACTGTGTTTGTGATTCTACTCCTTTATGATCAACTTAAAAATTCCCAGACTCATATTTTGATTAGAAACAATTCACAGATAATATCAGATACTTGTTGAGTAGGAGTAGTTAATGCATCATCCCAGGATACCCATTCCCATGTAAAATTGCTAAAGAATTATTTATTATCACTTCCGTTCCGAATCTTCTCCAGAAGCTTATTGTTATCTCTAGGTTAAACACTAGTTTCTAGGTTAAAACTAGTTTCATAACTAGTGTTATCAAAATGGAATATTAGATTCTGAAGAGGTTTAACAATGGCGTGTTCACATTTACACATTACACTTGCACACGAGGAAGATGGGAGGAAATGAGCAACTTTAAGGAGACAACTAGTTGAAGAATTTAATTCCAGTGAAGATAAGGAAAGTTTAATTCTACCTACTCTTGAATTGATATAAACTAGATCTATCTTCCATATATCTAGCAGTTCTCTGTCTCCCTCGTAAAGAGGAAACAAAATCTTCACAGGGTATTTGTGAGTTGATGTTATGTGCAGCGTATACATGCATCATTTCTTCCCTGACGACACGTCCTTTTAATAGTACCCGAGGCACCCGCAGGACACAGAATGGGAAAGCCTAGGTCCCATGTGAAAACATGTAGTCTCTATTTGGTCACAGCTGATTGGACCAAATGTGGGCACTAACCTAAGCTGAGCCATCCAAATTTCTTCTTTTGGGAATTCAAAATTGAGCCACAAAGTAAGTTACTTAAAAGCAGCTGTGTTGGGAAGTCATACACATACAGAGGTTGGCATGACTGTCCAAGTCCACATAATAGAAAGATAAGAGAAGTCAAGCTTCAGAGAATGAGGGAGGGAGGGAAGGAGGGAGAGGGAGAGAGAGGAAGGTAGGGAGGGAG
This sequence comes from Homo sapiens, assembly GCF_000001405.40. NCBI lineage: Eukaryota > Metazoa > Chordata > Mammalia > Primates > Hominidae > Homo > Homo sapiens. Next base: position 242,228,697 of record NC_000001.11, read on the forward strand.
GGAAGGAAGGAGAGAGAGAGAGGAAGAGGAGAGGAAGAGGAAGAGGAGCACCAGGAGAGAGCAAACCATAGTGAAAAAGACACTGTCCTCGTCCTCGCAACAGAGAGAAATGATGAATGAGAAAATGGCGGGGGAGTCCACCACTGTCCCACTCAAACCAGTTTCATGACTTTCTGTGAGTTCCTCTAAATCTTTGGCATAAATTACTTGTCATTTAAGCTTGTTTCAGAAGGATTTTCCTTCTTTCCTAAGCTATTCTTACGGTATTAACCAGATAATGTTGTACTTTATTTTCTGCATACATAATTTTTGAAGTCCCTCAACTTTTATATGTGTGCTTTTAATATTAGACTAAAATTGTTTAGTTGTGGCCTAAAAACTCAAGCAATTTTTAGCAAAGAGCCTGTTGCACAGGTTGCATGAGTAAATGACTCAAAGGCTGAAGATTCAAAATAAACATCCTGTCAAAATACTCATCAAAATGGCACAAAAGAAAACATGCTAGTACACTGTGGTTAAAAAATGGAAAATAAAGTTCCACATTCCCCATGAATCCCCATGATGAAATCAAACAGAATTTATCTCCAAGTTCATTTCCAGTAAGCCTCGTTTTAAACGCATATTACCAGCAGCTTTAATATGTTTGATGATAAAACACGTATACCTTCAAGAGAATGTATGTAACTTATAAGTAGATTATAAAGCATAATAAAATGGATACTTGTGAATCTTCCACCCTAAAAACTAGAACCTCACCAAAATGTACTACTATTAAAGCTGTGTTTCTCCATACAGATACATATATGCATATCCTGTTGAAATTGAGTTGGATCTATAGATCAATTTGGGAAGAATTGACATATGTATGTGGCATATATATTCATTTATTTGTTGATCTTCTCTAAGCATTTTGTTATTGTTTGTATGACTTTTGACATTATCATGAATGGAACAGCTTTTTTATTTTTATTTTCATTTGTTTGCTGCGAGTGAAGAGAAATATAATTGACTTTTGTTTAGGAGTCTCATACACTGTAACTTTCCTAAGCCCGCTATTACTTCTTGTATTTGCTTTCTAGATTCCTTGGGATTCTTTTTTTCCTAGAATATCATTGCCTCTACAAACTGAAGCAATTTTATTTCTTCTATTCCAAAATGTATTTGTTTTCCTTGCCCTATGTCACTGGTAAGACCTCTAAAAAAATATTGATAAAAAAAAAAAAAAGCTGTGTTTCTCAATTAGGGTCCATTCAGTTCCCCAAGCTACCCACTGCCCCATCCCCAGGGGATGTGCAGCAATGCCTGGAGACATTTCTGCTTGTCGCAACTGTCAGGGGGATGCTATTAGTATTTAGTCGGTAGAGGCCAGAGATGCTGCTAAACATCCTGCATTGCACAGGATAGCCCCCAAACAGCAAAGAATTATTCAGCTCACAATGTTGACAGCTTCAAGGGTGAGAAGCCCTGCATTAAAGCTGCGTGTTTATGCCTAATCCCATATGTCTACCACTTTCCTGTAATGCAACCACTATTTTAATTCAGTATTTAACATTATCTTATTTCTAAAATATAATTTATCCCATACATATGCATCCCTAATAGCATTATAAAATTAATCACTAGCTTTTGAAAAGAATGCTAATGAGCCTCAAGCATATATCAAAGGGAAACATAACACTATGAATAATTATAGATTTCTGGAAAGGTTTTCACCTATTTCCTGAAAGCAAGGTTTGCAGCAGAAATTTATCTTATCCATCAATCTCTTCTTCTGAAAATATTAATTTGTGTGAACAATGAAAAAAATCATAGTTCGCCTGTTCTTGGGGGCTTTAATTCTTATTAACCAGTACAGTTCAATCAATTTAATTACCAACATTTTAGAATTCATTGGCTAGAAGACTAACGGGGAAACATGAAAGGGTGAAAATCTTCTGTCATGACACATCGTTGCTTTCAAATAATTCAGTAAATGAGAGTAAGGGAACTTTTAAGATAATCAATTATGTATTCCAGCTGTAAAAATAAAAAGAATCTTAGCACAATGCATTTTTAATTTTAACATATCTATTCAAATACTGTGAAAACTATGTTGTAGAATCTCTCACAGGTTGCTTTGATGCTTCATTTTTAGTCTACAGGTTTGGACCTACAAGGGTGGTTTCTAAGAGTTGTCTCTTCCCTGTCATATATTTGTCTTATGACTAGGATATTCTGCTTCTTGGGAAATACTGTGCTTTGATTATATATAACCTTCTAGTCCAACAGTTAAGCTATCTATAGGAATGTTTGCTTTCAGAAACAATTAGGCTTAAAAATAAAGACTGTGCTCAAAAATAATAAACTTACTTAAAAATAACATTTACTTGAGTAATATTGCCTCAATTATGCATAAAATTTAAACATTCTACACTTAAAACGGATCAGCAAGAACACTGTCTACAGTGGCTCATTAGTTCTATTAAAAAATAATAAGGTCTAGGAGGTTGGTAGCTGCCGGGGCACGTGCTACGGCTTCCTCCCTCTTCCTCCTCCCTCTTCCTCCTCCCTGTTGAGGTCACACAGCTATCTGTATGGCCACGAAGGAGGACAGTGGGGAATGATGAGTACTTCCGAGGCATCCGTTTTGGTGCCAGTGCTCACGGAGAGAAGGCAGCCTCTTAGAGCCCAGCACAGTTGCAGTGCCAGGGAGGATGGAGATCCAGTAGCTTTGGAGGAGCTTTGCTTTCTTGGAAAAGCCAACATCGTTCTCTTTACCTTACCATTTGCTGTCCAATAATGCCAGAAGATTCCACAGCCCAATCTGCTGTGATTCTGAGATGACAAACCTACTCATATTGTTACATGACACCTCATCTAATACATCAACAGCTTAGAGGAGGCTCACCAACTAGAGAAAACATATGGCTACCATTGAGTTAGGTAAAATGGAAGAGACAAGAATTCTTCGGGACATTTACAAAGATGTTTCGAGAGAATAATCTAAGGATAAGGCAATGAGCTTAGAAATTTTTAAAAATCCAAAACAATAATTCAATAGAGGAGATCTAATATAGGATTGGCAGCACTGAATGCTGAAATAATAACCTGGATGTTTAAAAGGAATAATTTACTTATAAGACAGAGTGAACACAAAGAAATTGAAATGACTAAAAAACTAATGCAAGAAGGATGTATCCTATCCAGGGGCAGTAATATCTCAAAGTCTCAGAGGGAGTAAAAGGGATCTCTTTTAAAATAAGGAAAAAAAAAAAAAGAAAGAAAAAGAAAAAAAGATGACCAATGTAAGCAAAAATGACGAGACAGCTTAACTAAGATATTCAAAATCTAATTGCGGTAGTTCTAGAAATACTCAAAATCAGAGGAGAAGAAATTATAAATAATAGTAAAATTCCCAAGGACTGAAAGACCTACGTTTTAAAATTTTAAAGCCCACCAATCCCTGGCAAAAGTTTAAAAAGGCCCACACACATATCATAATATAATTTCAGAATATTGGAAATGAAAAGAGATTTTAAACACTTTCAGAGAGGAAATGAACAAATAAAAATAACATACGAAGATTAACTTGAATTACACCAGATATTTTAATAGTAACAGAAAACTGGAAAATAGTCTGAAGAAAAAAATTTGTATATCTAGCAAATACTGAAGATAAAAGTATTTTGCTTTCTCATTGAAAGTACAAATTCTTCCAGAAAATGGTCAAATTTTTAAACAGTATTCACAAATAAGGGAGAGTATATATTTATGTAATTTGGGGGGATATGTACCTTATTTAGGAAAGTATTAATTTAGAACATAAAATATGTGCTGCATTTTTTTTTTCTCTTTGAGTATATATAATTGAAGGAAAAAAATCATCAAGTCTTAGTACTTTAAAAGGCTTATTCATAAGCCAGGTGTGGTGCTCAGATGGGCAGATCACTTGAGGTCAGGAGTTCGAGACTAGCCTGGCCAACATGATGAAACCCCATCTCTACTAGAAATACAAAAATGAGATGGGCAAGGTGGTGGGTGCCTGCAATCCCAGCTATCCAGGAAGCTGAGGTAGGAGACTTACTTGAACCCAAGAGGCGGAGGCTGCAGTGAGCTAAGATCATGCCACTGCACTCCAGCCTGCATGACAGAGTGAGACTCCATCTAAAATAAAATAAACTAAGAAATAAAAGGTTTGGCTGGGTGCGGTGGCTCACACCTGTAATCCCAGCACTTTGAGAGGTCCAGACAGGTGGATCACCTGAGGTCAGAAGTTCGAGACCAGCCTGGCCAATATGGCAAAACCCCGTCTCTACAAAAAATAAAAAATTAGCCAGGCGTGGTGGCAGGAGCCTGTAATCCCAGCTACTTGGGAGGCTGAGGCAGAAGAATCGCTTGAACCCGGGAGGCCAAGGTTGCAGTGAGCTGAGATTGTGCCACTGCACTCCAGTCTGGGTGACAGAGCAAGATTCTGACTCAAATGAATGAATGAATGAATGAATGAATGAATGAATGAAATAAAAGGCTTATTCATGTTAATTTGAGCTTGGTCACTGAAAGAAAATTAGGTCATTCTTTGGTCAGGTATCTGTGACAGGTATAAGGGACTGAGTCTCAGGGGAAGGGAATGACTTGCCTGTTGCCCACAGCTACCAAGTAAGGTGAGACCCAGGGTTTTAAGTTCAAATTCAGGATTCTCCTGGCCTCTGGCTCAGAATCACACAACAATCTGAATGACTCTGATGCCCTAGAGAGATGTTCCTCTTACAAGTGGGAACGCTTAAAATAAATCACTATTAGAAGAGACTGATTTCTAATGAGTCCCCTATTCAATATTGTTCCTTAAGAAAGGCTAAAGGAAGAGAGAGAGAGAGGAGTTGGAGGTAGTGAGGGCGGCAGGGAGGGAGGGAGGGCTGGCGGCAGGCATGCAGGCAGAAAAGAAGCAAGCAAGGAAGCAAGCAAGCTAGCTAAGTGGTCCTTCAGAGGTTTGGCTTTGTTCATTATCTCCAGCAAGTAGCATAGTGCTGGCCATGTTTTTGGGTCCAATACACATGAAAAATAAGACTGACTAAGTGAATGAGTGAATGAATCAATGTTTGCAAACAGCCCCCCTCTAGCTGTGTGTGTCCCTCTCTGTCTCCTCCTACACTCTCTGTCTCGGAATAACTGAGTGAAAGAAATCAGTCGTGGCCTCCAACAAAGTCAGACTAAATGTACTGGGGCGGAAAAGGAGCCAGCATTGTGAAGGAAATATGCTAGAAGAACAATCCTTTCTACATGGGAGATGTGGTTAAATTAAACTGTAAAGATGGTTCCATTCCAAGCCAAATTAATAACAAAAGGAAAAATTAGGCAGCAAGACAGGACTAACATGACTTAAACAAAACTCCCAAATGTTAACGCATTTGTTCCTTCCTTTGAGAACCAATAGTTTCAATATTTATTCTTCTTCCAGAAAAAAAAATTACAATGTGTCTTCCATTCCAAATGAGATACAAATTCATTTCTTTACTTCTCAAGTTATCACAGAACTCAAAGGAGGTGAAGGAGGGAGGGTTTCTTTGTAACCCTCTCTGAAGGCTCTGAAGAAAAATCCAGCCAACCGTGCATTGAATGCCTCTAAGACTTCTAAGTTCTCCTTAGCACTGCTCCAGTCTTAAGGAGCCCCACATCTTATGAACTTAATGGCCATCAGATCTCAACACTCTTGCCAAACCCCTGCTGCAGGACAAAGACAGTGGCATTGAACTTTTTTTTCAGAAAAAGAAATGGGTAAGAGTTAAACCATATATGAGACCAGGACAAGGTGAAGAGGCAATGCCAGGTGTCAGCAGGAATCATGGAGCTGGTGGAACAGTAGAGTGAACTCCAGGGACTGGGGAGGCAGACGATGGAGCAGAAAATGGGGACCTAGGGAGAGGGTTTGGGTGGTCCAACTTAACACCTGGAGATGCCACCTGCTGGGAATTTATTGACCCACTTCGGTTTTCTTGCTTCTTGGTGGTACAAGAGTGGCACGTGCTCACCTCCCTGGACGTGTGGGCACCAGACATGCTCTGATCTTTCCTCTGGTTTCTTCCTTTCTCAGTCCCTGATTCTGCCAATAAGCCTAACTGGGGATGGGATGGGAAGGCAGAGTGCAGTAGGAGGGAGGGAGGTGAGAGAAAGGCTCTGAAGAAAAGTCCTGTGGATGGCATCTCTAGTTAGTTCCTGGTGTAGACTTGAGGGCCCTGACATCCGACTTCCTAGTTCGAATGTTGCTTATGCCACTTAGCAGCTAAGTGTCCCTGTACAAACCTGTGCCTTGGTTTTCTTCTCTATAAAATGGGGATGAAATAAGAGAGGAAGTATGTTATAGAGTTTCGTGAGCTCTAAATGAGTTAATAGATTGAAGCACCTGCGTGACAAAAGTGCTCTGAAACGTGGATCTCTGTGCAGTTCCCTTTTGTAACCGCTCATCACAAGAGTCATTTCTTATTTAGCATTTGTCTTCCTTGCTAGGTTATAAGCCTCATGAGGGTAATAACAGGGTTCTGATTTGGCCACATCCAGAGGCATTCAACAGATATCTGCTGAATGAATGAATGAACCACCTTTAGATCACCTTTAGTATTCCCTTCATAAGTCACCAAGAAATAACACAATTCATTTAATAGGCCTGTGGCCATTCAATTAGGTGATAGAACTAGGGATGAATGTTCAACTTTTAAAATTAAATTCTTCCTGATTAACGTCGGTTCACTGTACCCAGCAGAAAGCTCAGTGTATATCCTAAAAAGGTCCCTAAGTCTTCATTCAGTCTGAGAAACTCAGAAATTTCAAATGGGAAATGCTCCTGGGCCATGGAAAGGAAGGGAATGGTAAGAAGAATATGAGAGTATCAGGATTTGGGGGAGAAGGAGGGAAAGCATGTGTCTGTATGTTATAAAGGAGAGTGGAGACACTTTAGAAGAATCAGGTTCTCTAATTAACAAGAGAAGAAGCTTCAGGCAATGATCACATCGCAAGCTGGAGTAGGAACCTGCTGTGCTCCTTGCCGTTCTTGAAGCTGTTGGTGTCCAACTTCCTTTCAAGGAAGGGCTATGCTGGCCCAGAGATCCTCATCACACACCTCACAGAGAGGCATGTTGTTAACAGAAGGCTTTGCCTGGAACATTATTTTAGTGTAGTTCTCGTGTCTTCCAGTGCAGAGAGTGGGGAAAAGTCCTTCAGAAAAAGCCTCCTGCATCCCTGTTAATTCATTTGCCTGGAAGAAAGTATTAAATCAAGCTTCGATTTTCTGTAATCATGACTTTCAGTGGCACATTTCTCAAGCACATGCACAAGTGACTGTGATATTAGGTGCCACGGTCTGAACATGTGATTCGTGAAGGGGGCAGAGCCTTCTTGGATAGGATTAGCACTCTTACAGAAGAGGCCCCAGAGAGACCCCCAATTCCTTCCACCACACAAGGACACAGTGAGAAGATGGCTGTCTATGAACAAGGAAGTGGGTCTTCACCAGACATGGAATCTGCCAGCACCTTGACCCTGGACTTTCCAGCCTCCTGAACTGTGAGATATATATTTCTATTGCTTATAAGCTATCCAGTCTATGGTATTTTGCTATAGCAGCCTGAACAGACTGACAGTGGGTTAAAAGAAATGCTTCCAAGGGCTCCCAATCTAATGCAAGAACTCCCAGAAACTATGACCTATCCTGAAAAACAGACAGAATTTTATGTCTATTTTCACAAGTTTTTCATTTAGCCTAAAGTTTTACATAGCTTTTTTTATATCAAGCTCTGTCTAGTGTCTAGCGAGTCAAGAATATAAGCAATTTCTCCCATCTCCAGAATGAATTACTTTTGCTTTTGAAAAAAATAATAAAAACAACAAAAAAAAACTCACAAGCATCATAATTAGAAGCCAATAAAATTTAAATACTATTAAGAGATTTAAAGGGAGGTTTGCACCATGGGAAATCTTTTATTCTACAACAAAACAGAATTTCTGAATAGAGTTTTCATAAACTGTTTTATCACAAAGATACAATACCCTGGGGGAAAATCACCTGCTTCTAAAAATATGGGTTCACCATTTGTAGGGAGAGGAAGAAAGCCTGGCTAAGCTAACCCATACATGTGTTCCAGTAGCCATTCCTTTTTCAACTTCAGAATTCCTCCATTTCTAAACCTCTCCTTAGAAAAATGTAATCACTGTTTGAACTATCTTCCAGGTTGAAGCCTGCCAAGGAAGAATTGGGCTCACAACTGATTGAAATTAGAACTTGACAGCTTTAATTCCCCAATTAAAAATAAAAAAGAATCCAGGATACTGAAAAATTGTTCTTTTCACACAGACAAGCAATGTGTCAGTGACTGTCTTCCCACCATTAACCATGGAACAGAAAGCATGTGTGATTGTGTTTTATGAGACTGCAGCTCAGGGGAATTCTCTTAAATTTCTTTCTCCCTTTTTTTTTCTTTAAAAATCACCAAAGGAAAAAACAAACAGCTTTGGTAGATAAGTTACCAAATTCCATGATTCTCTATAAATATCAGAGCTGGTATCATGTGTCATTCACTCTGCAGAGATTGTGTAAGATTAACATGAGTTAATATTTTATATGAAAGGAAGATGACCTTATAAAATGAGTTAAGAAAAAAAAAACACTTTGTGCAGTTGGTAGAGGAAAGAATAAGGCTTCAGGTGCCAGTTCTCAACGTCTTGCATCTCAGCTCCAAATCTGTCCTTCAATACCTGCTTTGTGATAAGGGAGGGGTTTCCTTTCAGCTTTTCTCCTGCACAGACAGCATGAGGTAGAGCTTTCTTAGTAGGGGTGCTAGAGGGACAGTGCAGGAGCAAGGGGGCTCTCCTGCTGTTTTCAACTGGTGCATGGTGGGCCACTGGTGTGGGTGTGAAGAGATCTGGTGATGCTCAGTAACAGCCACGTGCCTAAAAGATATAGTCCCTCAGTGCCCTTGCAGCCCTGGCCTGGGCTGGTGGTAACATTCTTATGGCTTTCTCCACATGGATGCCATGTAGGCCAGACCCCCTATTCCCTCTGCTTCCTTGCATGCCTGGCCACCTGCTATGGCTCACCTGTGCCTTACTTGCATCCTAGAGGCAGGATTGCCAGATTTATTAAAACAAAACAAGATTCTCGTTAAATTTGAATTTCAGATAAATAACCATAATTCCTTAACATAAGTATATCCCATAAAACATTTGGGCCACACTTAGACTATAGGCAGACCAGCCAACTTTGGAATCCAGAGGGCTGCAATCACACATTCTCCGATGTGTCTGAACCCTACCTAGCTTTGCATACACCCCTCATCCCTCCTGTAACATAAATACTTTTCTTAACAGTTTTGAACCAGAGATAAGTAATTCTTTATATTACATTTCCCTTAGTTTAAGTTACTATGTGGTTTCTGTCTTCTGATTGGACACAGACTGATATACTTCATATTCAGAAAGAAACAGAGAAGAGGGTGGTGAAGAACTTTGTGAGGTAATTTGCAAGTGAGAAAATACTAGGCATGTCCAGGTATGCTTTTAAAAGCAATTCTGATCAAGACAATGCAGAGTCCTGAAAACAATAAAACACCTAATGCCAGAAGCCATCTGAATTTAGGGTTTCGGGATCTGTGGCATGAAACACCTGCTACCCTCTTCCTGCACTTCATGGATACTCTGCATCCATTGCCCCGTCAGCCCAGCTGCCCTATTGTTGGCTGCAGGAGCATCTTGCAGATAGACTGGGGGCTGATGATGCCCCTTGCTAGCAGGCGGTCTAGCAGTCCTCCTTAGAGAGTGACAAACACACCTATAAGGTGCAATGGAGAGTCATTCAAGACATGCTACTATTGAGCTGAGGAGTTTCCACGGTCTAAGTAAAAGAATGAGAAGCTTTGAAAAAAGAGATGAACTTTGCAGGGAAACTTAATTACTGGAAGTATTTTGTGTGTAAGAAACTAACATCTGAGGAATTCTCTTTGAGAGTTCTCTGGGGGAAATGAAACTTTGTGAAGTCATAGAACGCTTATACTAAAAAAATCAATTTCTGAGACATGAGCAAGTGTAGAAGTTCAATGATATGGCTATTTGAGGTTATGGGGCCATCTGAGTGAGCAGAGCCTTTGGATGACTCTGGGGCCTAGCAGGGACCTCAGGGAGAGTGGTGGGAGCCATAGCAGGCTTTCGTTAAAGCTCACAGAAGGATTGTGAAGGTTCTGCCCTGGTATCCTCTGTCTGGGTACTTAACTCACTGGAAGGCTTGTAGCATATCCCAGTTCAAGTGGGATACCTGGAGCTGCCTCAGGCCAGAGATCTGTTTGCCTAATCTGTTTGGGTTCTATATTATGTCATGAAGTAAAAGGTGATCATTCAAAATTTATAACATTTTGAGGAACAACAATCTCATCTTTCTTTGTACTGTAGTCACTCAGGGGTCTTGCATTTCTCCCGTTGGGTTATAAACTAGAAAATTGGAACTTGTATTTTATTCATTTGAAATCCCCCATTGTCTGGCACATGCTGTAGAATCTCTGTGCTCCTCAGAGAAACAATAGGAGTGGGCACAGTATCACATCTTTGTCCCATAGTCTCTGCATGTGCTCAGGAAGAAACACAGTCCTTGTTGGTGGAATGAATGATTGGAAGCCTATAATTCTAAAAAGAGAAAGCTTATGTTGTATTGACTTGTACTTGGTTCACTTTTTGAGTTACCTTGCATAATTCAATTGTTTTAAAGCCCGTTAACACTAAGTGCTTTATTTTATAACCATCGGAATTATCAAAGACAGCTGAGGAGGTCTTTGAAGATCTTTCCTTTATGTGTGTGGCTGAGGAAATGTATTGTATTTACTTATATGTACTCTGATTAACATGATTACACAAGACCAAATACAAGTGTGTAAAGAAGTCCTTCTTCCTGTCTCTCTTAGAATCTAGATCTACCAACAAGCAGCGGGAGGTGCCTGACTGCACAGCAGGTTCTGATGAAATGGAGGGTTTTTAAAACCAGACAGTCTGCACATCCACCGCTTAACCAACTTGTCCCCTCGGGCAAGTCGTTTAATCTCTCAGAGCCCCACGTAAAAAAGGAAACAATAATAGAACAGTTTTTTTAAAGCTGCTGAGAAAATTAAAAGAGGTAATCATGGGCATCTAATACTCAATAAATATTTGTTATTACTATTATTACTATTTGTGTCAGAGTTGGGGAATTGAAAACTGTACTTGGGCAAATTTGTTTAACGAAGGGCTGCCAAAAGTTAGCTGCATGCAGCTTCTCCTGGTGTTTTGTTCGTGGCTACAGAAAGGGATGCAGAAAAGAAAATTTTTTTCTGAGTGGCCCTTAGATTTTCTACCAGGAACAAACATCTACTTCACTGTTCTTAACTGTCAACCTCTTCAAGACCTCCCGAGTTGGCTGTCAAGACTTTATTTTACACTGCACATGGCAAGTGGCCAGCACTCTTACATCTATAGAAATGTTTCTTCCCTAACTCACAGGTCTTTCCATGGCCTCCACTGGCTTGGCAGCTCCATTTACTCCCCAGACACGCATTACCTTGGAATATCGATCTTCTCTTGGCATAGAGTCAGCCTCCAAATCCCATTGCTTCATCCTGCTCAGTGTCACTACTGTTTGATTTAATTATCCATCTCCACTGCTCTCCCCCAACATTCTTTTCCTTTAATATGGTTAATGATTTATAGTATTTAGTTCCTTCAACAGCTGTGCTTGAAAGACACAGTCTGGGCAGTTAATGACCTGTGAATTATTTAATAGCGAATGTAATGACCTCAGAATTGAATTGATGCTTTATTAGTAATTTTGATGGTCTTCTTTCTAGGTTTGGTGAGGTGGGCCTGAGGGAGTTTTTTTCCCTTTGAAGATACATGGTTCTGCAAAAATTGAAGGTAAATATGTAAGAAACATCAGGGAGTTTTAGGCCAAAGGCAGAGAAAGTGAAAATTTTCAGGCTTAAGGACAGCGGGAAAATGTAGTGCAAAAAAAACAAAAAATATTTTCAAGGTGAGGGTGGAGGCAGCAGGACGTACAGAGCTGGTTGATGGAGACAAGGATGTGGAGAATTCAGGGATGAAAAATAGTCGTATGTGACAAAGGAAGAAAATCAGTTAATATGGCTCTACCCTCTTTCTTCATCCTGTATGTTGACTCTTTCTTCCTGGAGCACCTCATGGACTCTATAAAGTTCTAGCTCAGCTTAATAAAAGAACATGAATCATTCTGGGAAGAGAACTGGGTGGCTGTAAAAGGTGTAACTACAACAAGGTAAATGCTGGGCAGAACAGAAATTTAGATAAACATGATTGGCAGAGATATTATTTTAATAATTAATTTGCGTTGGCCTCATTAAAAAAGGAAATAGCGTTTGAGGAACACTACGTTAGACGAGCCAAGAATCAGAGAGGAGACTCACAAAATGTAAAATTGTACTAAACCGTTCTACAGAAAGGTATGGGTTTTCTTCTGAAGTTGTTGGTCAGACCCACAAGCACTGCCTGTAGTACTGATATGATGTCAGGAAAGCTCCCCATGAAAACATCACCCGCTAGACAAAGATTGTGTAGGGTAGAAAACCCTGAGGTTACATGAGTTTTTATCATATTGAAAAAGCCCTGCTGATTATCTTTTCATGGTCCCAGAAGTTATGAGATCTTAAAAAGCCCCCTAATTTCTATTCAATTCAAATACCTAAAAATTAAGGAGCCCTAGCAAAACCTCTGAACACTATGTTCTTTTCTTATACCAACTGTCATTTCCAACTGACAATCCTTTTCAAATCTCATTAAAGGGAAGCTTATTAGCTAACTTCCTAGACTCGACAGCATGGTTAGTAGTTCTGGGTAGTGCTGAAAAATGACAAATAAGGTGGTATGCCAAAATCTGCCACTGTGTTGACCATGGTAAGCAAACTGTGTGGAATCAAACTTTCTGAGAAAAATAATTCAGAGGCCTGGAAACTTCTACAGGCCACTTGGTTATAAATGTGCGCAGGTTGGTGAGGTACAGGCTTCTCCATCTGCACTGTGGAGAAGCCAGCCCACTAATTTATTCATATGTATATTCCTATAGGCCACAAAATTTACTTATTTCTATTTGCCTCTAGGACCTCTACCAGCATTAAAAATATTGAAGAAGGCTTTGAAGAAGAAAGAACTTGCTTTACTTACTATATATATATATATATATATATATATATATATATATATATACTTACTGTATATATATATACGCTTATATATATATACTACTTATATATATGCTTACTTAAATATATACTATATATACTTACTATATATATATATATATATAGACACACACACACACACACACACACACACACACATATGGTTGATGGAGAGAAGGATGTGGAGAATTGACAAAATGATCATTAAAAAATCCAAATCAGATCAAGTCATTTCCGTCAGTACCTCAACAGCGTCTGGCACATTGTAAGAATGCAATAAACATTTGTTAAAAGAGTGAACGAGTTAGTTGATGAATGAGTAACTTGCGCGAGGTCCTAGAGCTAGAATTGTAATCTGAGTCTGTCTCATTTCATCATGATATACACCTGCGCCTGCAATCCAGGGGCAGTGCCCTGGATTCTCCAGCCTGTCCCCCTATTTTCCAGCCTGTCTTGCTGAGAGCAAACAGCCACGCTTTACCAAATTTCAAAATATGTATCATAAAATGGCTTCACTGTACACATAGTAAAGCCATAAACAGATTTCTTAGGCATTTTTAAATGTAATTTAAAGGTTGCTAAGCAGAAGAGGGTGGATGTTTTTGTCATTTTTCTAAGGTTTTGCTAAAGATCCAATAACATTGGCTAAAATCACACGCATGGGGCACTCTGTCAAGAATTAACACAACAGGTATCTTTCACCACCCATTAATCACGGATCGTAGACACATAATTCCACTTTTCTGTGTCTCAGTTTTCTGATCTGTGAAGTGAAAATAATAGCATCTTCCTTTCTGGGATGCCTGAGGGTTAAATAAGAATATAGGTAAAGCACATAGAATAACACCTATTAGTTGGAACTATCACTAACTATAATCATATTGCACATATACCAAAGATCTGTGGGGTTTTTTGGTGAGTGTTTTAGAAAGTGAAAGAACTTTTGGTAAATCATATTATTATCCTCTAATTTGGAAATGTTATAGCAAGTTGACAGTTGAATGTGTATTCCACCTCCCGGTGATTACAGGCAGGTTTTTATTACTAGAGAGTCTGTGCCTCACCTCTCTCTCCTTAGCCTCTGAAAAACTCATTCCCCATATCTTTCCTTCCAGTAAGGAATCGACATAAATGTGACAAAATGGCTTCTCAGGCAATTTCATCTGAGGAACTAAACAGAGTCCTAAAACAGTAAAAATAAGGAAAGGAGGCATCTGGGGCTGCCAAACAGACAGCTTGCTGTGCCACAAATGGGGGATTGGCACACACTTAACACATATGCCAGGGCCTGCTGTGTCTTACGCGAGCGTAAAGGCTGAGCTGACGAGGGGAGGAGGGGTAGGTTTGAGTGGAAAAAGGCAGTTTAAAGAGAGTCCGGCCAAACTGGTTTCTGAAGAAGAGATCTAGAGTGTGTACAACTCCTTCTTGGAACTCAGAGGTGAATATGACATTCTCAGTTTCTTCTGAAGAACAAATTAAATGAGGAGGGTTATAATTGCAGCTATGGAGACATAGGGTATATCCTGGGAAGAGCTTAGAACTGAACCAGAGGGCAAAGAAAGATCTGTACATAATTCAGGAAGAGATATTTACTACCAGAGGAGACCATTCTCAGCTTAGGAGAGATGGAATCCCATCTTGCCTGGAAACTCAAGCCAGGAAATATTTATTGAGCACTGGTAGTTCTATGTACATGGCAGGAATTCAATTCAGTCAACACAGTGCCTTCTAGTTTAGGGCCCTTTGGAAGGGACAATAGAAGAGGAACAAGGAGTTTGGGAAACTCTTCCTAGGCCAGATCCTGTCCAACTTGGCTCTACTATAGACAGAAGCCTCTCTGCTGCCCATGAAATCAAAAGTGAAAGCTCTCAGGGCTCCTCTCTCTGTGTGAGGCATCTCTAGCTAGCAGAGTGATTTAACACTATTCTGCTGAAAATTCAGTAGAGCTTCTGCTTTTTAATTGGAAACACGGTAATATCAGGTCTTTTCACATTCCATGTACTTTTTAGATTGTAAAACTAATATATAAGTTCCTCAAAAACACGGTAGTTTTGAATAGCAGCTGGTATTCCCATTTCTGGATCAAAATGATTTAGAAGGCATAAGAGCAATTTTTCTCTGTTCCTGAAAGCTCCCAAATTGTCTGGACCTTTTTCAAGTCTCATAACAAATTCAGAATAAATATGCCTTCCATTTAATGACATATATGCACGTATTACCTGATAGAGTGTGTTGGCCTATGGTTGGGCAGGGAATATCTTGGGATACAGAAAATATTCACAAAAGTCATTCTTTGTGATAGCATGGGAAATCAGAGGATTCATTTCATTTGCCTCCACCTAACCTGCAGTTAAATACGATGATGTATTCTTGCAGAGGAGCCTCACCGGCAGGCACATAAGCTGCTCCAAAGTACTCATGATGAGGAAGAGGTGATCCAGGAAGACTTGGTCCCTGTTCATGGGACAAATAGGAGATACACATGGGGACAAAGAGGAGACAACACAAAGTAGTATCTAATTGAGTAATAGATACGTAAGGCCGATTAGATACTGAAAGGAATTTATCCTTGGGAAAACCTCAGTGGGTACTTGAGCTGAGAAAAACAGATTCACATTCACTTGGCCAAGTATTGGCTTTAAATGAGTGGATACAAATACGTCTCCTGCAGAGGCATGGGTTTAGAAACAATGGAGAGGATGGATATGTGTAACCAGGGTGTCATTTCCAACGGCTACTAGGAAGTAAGGTGTTGGAAGAGAGTGTTGCTTCCTTACGGAGAATGCACTGCAAAAAATTCAGCAGAGCTCACCATTGTTCTGAGATTTCAGGGGTCAAGAC